>NC_000008.11:14405557-14708587 GCF_000001405.40 Homo sapiens
AGAATTATGCTTGCCTATGTTGTGGCTGATTTTTGCATTTCAAAAACAGATGAAGTACAGAATTAAATGTGATGGAAATGTTGAAATAATTCTGCTTTGAGATTCTGTGTTTTGTGACCATATCAAAGCCTTAAAATTACTAATTTTCAAGCCTGTGATTTCAAATTATATTGTACTACACAGCTGTGATGTATGTCATATAATTTTTCACTTAAAATGGTTAAGTATTAAAGTTGGCAAATTAGTTGTTTATAAATACATTAGAACATTTCGGCATTATCATTAGAATAATATCTTAGTCATTTGTGTTTCAAAAAGGTTTTTCTCTTTAGTGGGAGCTGAGCAGGTATTTTTAAATGGAGGTGCAAGCAAATATGCAATGAGCACCCTAGTTAGTTTACCTTTGTCATATTTATTTACATTCATGTAAATACAAGTAGCCAAATACATTCAGCTATTCATGAACAGCTGTTGTTAAATCACAGCAAATAACCCATCAAATATATGCATGATCTCATCTCCTACAACCCTACTGCTTGCTTAAGTAAACTACAGTTTCCCATCTTCTGTGCTTTTTGAACATATCAAGCTTATGCTTTCTGCAGAGAAGGCTTTGCCTTAATTTCTGCACTTCCCTCCACCTGTATGTCTTTGCAAGACTGGTTCCATCTTCCGATGTCGGGCTCAGTTCTCATCTCACAGAGGCTCCCTTAGTCAGTCAATCTGAATTGAATCCCCATCATGCCCCACTCTATTCACTTTCTTATCAAATTTTCTTGTTCATTTTCTCTCCATCTCACAGATGGCTGAAATTTTTTATCAGAAATTTTTATGTTTTAAATTATTTTCTGCTTCTAGGATGTAAATTTCGTGAGAAGGGGAATATCATTTCTCTTGTTCATTGCTGGGGAGCCAGATGCTTAAATCGTAGCTGGAATATAGTGGGCACTGAAAACAAACATTGTTGAATGAATGTAACCTGTGATTTGGCATCACATTGAGCTAAGAGGTGGAACTCTACTGCCCAGGTGGGGCTCGGGCACTAGATCAAATTGAGGACTAGCAAAAACAAGTACAGGGCAGAAGCGCCTCCCCATTAGACACATGCCATGTCAGTTTACCATTGCCAGGGCAATCCCTGAAAATTACTGCCCCTTTCTACGCAACAACATGACAAACAGGAAGTTACCACTCTCATTCCAGAAATTTTTGCATACGCCACCCTTTAATTTGAAAATAATTAAAAGTGGGTATAAATATGAGTGCAGCACTGATTCTGAGATGCAGTTCTGTGAAAACTGCGTATAGGGTAGCCTCCTTTCGCAAGGAGCTGCTGCTGTATACTGCTACTTCAATACAATTTGCTATTTAACATCACTGGCTCGCTTTAGAATTCTTTCACGGGTGAAGCCAAGAACCCTCTAGGACTAAGCCTTGATTTTGGAGCCTGCCTGTCCTGCATCAATATGAATATAAATAAGACAAATTCTATAAGTTATGAGTTTTCCTTTTTTTTTTTTTTTTTTTTTTGAGATGGAGACTCACTCTGTCACCAGGCTGGAGTGCAGTGGTGCCATCTGGGTACACTGCAACTTCCACCTCCTGGGTTCAAGCTATTCTCCTGCCTCAGCCTCCTGAGTAGCTGGGATTACAGGTGTGTGCCACCATGCCCAGCTAATTTTTATATTTTTAGTAGAGACAGGGTTTCACCATGCTGGCCAGGCTGGTCACGAACTCTTGACCTCAAGCGATCCAAGGTTTCTTAACTGTATGCCACAGCTAAAAACTACACTTTTAAAATATTGTGTATCATATTATACAGATAAGAACACTGAGTTTCAGAAAATTTTAAGGTGGTTGCTAAACATCATCCACCTATGTGTTGGGTGGTGGATTCAGGATCAGGACAAAGGTCTCCCTATAAGTAGTTTCATAATCCTACCTATTATATGACATCTGTTTTAATTGTAAAAAAATTAAATAACATTAGATGATAAATATAAATCAAAGAGGCATTCCACCACTATATTACAATATAGGTATATGATATAAAAATATAATTCATAACTGTTGTATGCTAATCCTGCTAAATAGGTTGATAAAATATTGTTTTCTTGTTAAGAACTGAGAAAGGCTGTCAATATGAATGAGAAGATTCCCATTTGTTGTGAAAAGATCATTTCAAAAAGTTTCAGCTGGTGCATTTTTTCCTATGCATGTATTTCCCTAGGTCAAGCAGAGACTTTCAAATGATGACCTTATTCATTCTTTCCAAAGTAGCTCCTAAACCTCCTAAATACACTTGAAAGAAGTGATTGAATGCTGGCTGTCAGGAGAAAAGGAACCTCTTGAGTCTCACGTTTTTGCTTTTCACTTATTTTTGTCTCAGATGAATGTGTCAAAGTATATATCATACGGAGAGATAGTTATTTAATGATAGACTAATGATATGTATAAATAAGGGGGAAGGAAATAGATATTTCATTTTAGGGATTGATTTGAATTAATGGGAATTCACTTCCTTTTCACATTCTCTAACTACCTCTTTTACTTCAATAGCATGTGTAGGGCAGAGTAGTAGAAATTAAAAGAAAAATTATGATGTTTTTAGACATTATGGAAAGAAGGAAACTGTTAAAAGGAAATCATCACGATATAGGGCACCAAAGGGAACTGCTGTATTTGCAGTTTTGGTCTTTGCAGAATCACCTGTCCAGACTGTTTGTTTAATCCATTTTATGACCACAGAATCTACTCAAACAAAAACAGCCATCTCCAGATATGTCCCAACGTCCTAGAAAGCACCATCTGGACCCCTGGGAGTTTTCTACACTTATTTCCTCCTCTCGTCCCACCCCTAATATCCAATAAATCATGAAATAGATCATCAGTCCTAATACGCTCCATTCCCCTGCCCTCCATTTACCCAGGTGGCCACCGTCTCTCCCCTGAACTGCACACATCTTCTGGTTCCCACACTTCCAAATTTAGGTCGCAATTCTTTTCCACAGTGGCTAGATGACTGTTTCTATATAAATCAGTTTATATCACACCCCTGTATAATATTCTGCAGCAACATTTCATTGCATTTGGATGGTCCCAGGCTGTGAGTTATCTCACCTGCCACTTTCCCCTCATCTAGTCCTGCATGGCATCTTATTTATCAGGCTTCTGTACTCTTTTATTATCCTGAATTTTCTAAATCCCTACATAGAATTTAGGGTATTCATAATTTTTGTTTGTATTCAGTTGGCTAATACTTTCCTGGTTTCAGGTTAAATGTTAGCTCATGATTGAGACCTTCTCTGAATTTTACTTCAAATTCTTTTTATTCTCTTTTATGAATATATATTTTTATTACTTCATAAAAGCTAACACATTTTTAAATTAAGAGAGTGTGTGTGTGTGTGTGTGCATGTGTGCGTGTGTGTGTGTGTGTATTTTGTTTTTGGCCTCATTAACTAGGTTTTCAGTTCCAGGATCATTTCAGTTTTGATACACGACACAGATCCCAGTGTTAGCAAATGCTAAGTTCTCAGTAAGTGTAGGATTATTTAAGTTGTTGAACTGATTATTACAGAGATATGGTGGCAAAAATCAATTAGTCACTCATTTATATAACCAACACGTTATTTATTAAGCATTTACTTATACTAGAAAATTAATATGAGCATGTATATTACAAGGCCTTTAGACAGTGACTCTCAAATTATACTTTCTCCTGAAGATTTTCACATGTATGTATAGGAGGGGGCCTCTTATTCTCCCTCAACCTGAGGATCCAAAAATGAGATTTAAAAAACTTAAAAAATGTAGTTTGGAGGTAAATATTGATCGTATCATTAAGTAAATATTTCAATATCCTCTATTTTGGTCAGCTTAGACACTCAGCGTTTGGTAATGCTGGCTCAGAATTTGAAAAAAAAATCAGAATATTCACTTTTAAAATATGTTTTACATGGCTGCCTCATAAGAACTTATGGGAATTAAAGACAGGGAGAGTTGTCTTTTACTCTGTACAAAGATGCAAGATCCAAAATTTGCATTAATTATATTAATAAAATGATTATTTGAGACACTCCTGCTATTACATGTCAGCAAAAATAGCTAACGCTAACCACCATATTTGTGAAATAACGTTTACTTGTTGAGAACATTCATTCAATCCCTCTTGTAGTCTTAAATAAATAAAATCTACTGATATACATATATAGCAACACATACTTGGAAAGTAGATTACCAGTTTGAAAATATTGCTTTCCTAATATAAACAATTTGGAAACAATTTCATTTACAAATATGAACAGTTATTTATACACATAATAAATATGACACAATATATGGGAGGTAAAAATGTCTTTGAAAATTAGCTTTCCCTTAAAATCAATGAGTTTATTAGAACAGGGGTCCCCAACTCCCAGGCCACGGACCAGTAACCCTCCATGGCCTGTTAGGAACCTAGCCACATAGCAGGAAGTAACCAGCCAGCATTACCGTCTGAGCTCCGCCTCCAGTAAGACCAGGGGTGGCGTTAGATTCTTAAAGGAATGCAAAACTCATTGTGAACTGCGCATGCTAGGGATCTAGATTGTGTGCTCCTTATGATAATCTAACAAATTCCTGATGATCTGAGGTGGAACATTTATCCCGAAACCATTTCCCTCCTCCCTTTCCTTCTGCCTGTGGAAAACTGTCTTCCACAAAACCCATCCCTGATGCCAAAAAGTTGGGGACTGCTGAATTATAAGACACTGGTCTTAATATCCACATTCTGAGCATTCTGAGTATGTAAGTTTGAAAACTCCAAAAGGTAAAAGTAACTTACTTTGTTCAATAATTTAAGAAAAAAAAAAACAGAAAAGGCTGATTTTCAATGACCCAAATGGATCTCCAAGTAGAAGTGTTCTATTTCAAAATTCACAGAAGGATGGAATTCTATTTTTGGACTGTAATGTGAAATGCTGTGTAATTCTAAGTTAATATAAAAAAAAAAAAACAGAAGTTCTACACATGGACACAGGGAGGGGAACATCACATACTGGGGCCTGTCGTGGGGTGGTGGACAAGGGGAGGGAGAGCATTACTACAAATACCTAAGGCATGCAGGCCTTAAAACCTAGATGATGGGTTGATAGCTGCAGCAAACCCCCATGGCACATGTATGCCTGTGTAATAAACCTGCACGTTTTGCACATGTATCCTAGAACTTAAAGTAAAATATACAAAAACCAATGAAACGAACAAAAATAGGAGTTCTAAGAGTGTAATTAAGCTTTCATTTCAACCACTCTTCTTTTCAAATGGAACACTGCTATCTGAGGGAAAAGTTTAAAAAGCAGAAATGTTTAGTTTGTTAGTTTAAACTAAACAATGGTGATAAATTTTCTTCAACGTTTTTTCTTTTAAAAAAATTTCAATAGCAATTTTAAAAACAAGATTCAGAAAGTTCTTGTGCTCTTTGAAACAATTACAATTCCAGATAGAAATATTTTAAAAAGCTAAAGAACATTTAGATAGTAAACAACTCTACTATGAAATTAAAATATCATTATGGCGCCAACCAATGCGTTTTGTTTCTGCTATTATTGAGATTAAGTTTTCAAATTAGAAATAATTTTCATTAATAATATTTATAAGACCATAAGCATGTTCTCTCCTTAGAAACAGCCCTACAACTCTTACATAGTATGAAGAGACTCTAAGTCATTCTATTTGTGCTCTTAACAAAAACAAAAAACGTAAAAGTTTTTACATAAACATTCGTATAGAAACCATTGTTTTTAGTCATCAGATATATAAAACATATTAGTGTTCTGTTACTTATGGAAATTCTTAAGGTCATGCCTACTTCAATTTAGAAAAATCTTGGTTCATTACACAAAATGCCTAATTATGCTGAAACCAATATCAAGTTTATAATGACATTACCGAGGGAAGATTGAGAATGTGATACTTCACTTGCTGCCTACAGCATATAAAGTTCAAGCTGACATAGAGAAATATATACTTCCAAAGTACCTCCCCAAACCTCTAGGCTTTCTGAGGGTATGAGCCATATTTATTACTTTAGAGCATCATATACCCACCACCTAATAAAATGTCTAGCATATAATTTAAACCTCATTAAATATTTGTTTCATGTGTAAATACTATTATAATATTAGTATTCTGTATTTCCATGATTATATATAAAGACATTCAATATTAGTCATCAATAAAACTCACTGACATGTTTCATTGAATTCATGACACTTAAAAATGTGCTCTTTTTCCAGTACAGTAAAAAACACTTCCAAACATTTCTATTTGATGGAACGGAAGGAGAATTAACAAGTATTTCAATCTTACATGACCTCTGAAGAAATGCTGAAGGAGGCTGACAGGAAAGAGGTAAACAGCTGGGAAGAGTATACTGAGTAAAAATACACTGCTCTCTTCTTAAATGCAAGGGCGTGCATCTTCTTTGTTCACAACAATATGACCATCCTTCCCATAAAGCCAGTGTTGACCTCAAAATTGCCATTCAAAGATTGATTTGCAGAAAAGAACAGTATGTGTCATATGGTATTACAAAATTCTAATTGACAATGAGAAATAGTAATGTAAAGATAACTATGGGCTTTAGTCTCACAGACCGGAATGCAAACCTTAACTCTATGATATTGAGAAAAGAAGCCTCAGTTTCCTCTTTTGGAAAAAATCAAACAATATTTTAGACCCTAAGGTATTTTTATAAGGGTTACAGAAAATATGTGTAAAGCATTTAGTAGACTGTGACACATAGTTTGCATCCAATCTACAGCAACTATTATAATTATGTGTTTCCCTTTAGATCACTGGGTATGCGTACATTTGAATGTCTAGTTCATATGAATGGAATTATGTGGTGAAATATTCAAATGAATTGCATTTCCAATTAAAATAGATAATCTCAGCATAAATGCTGCCAGGCCTTGCCTTTTGCAGCTGTTCTGTTTAAATAATTCATCTAGTCATCAGGTAAAAACACATACTCTGCATTAACTTTAAGGAACTACACAACAGCGAACATCTTAATGAGTAACCTAACCTTTTAATCTGCCTCATTTTCTTGTGCTATTCATTTCAATAAGGAATTACAACCAACCATGGTGGAAATCTCTCACAAGGGCTAATGTATTCAATATGCACAATATGCATATTAAAAAGCTCACTAATAATGCGCACGTGACAAGGTATCAAAATAGCAGCAACTATAAGGATGGCATAACTTTAATTAAAATAGTTGAACTTGAAGAGTATTTGACATTCTGAAACTTGATAGATATGGATGCAAATAATAAATATTTGTCTGGTATGAATTATTATCTATTCAAGTAGCATTTAAATAGGTGTATTATGTCAGAAAAGTAAAATCATAACAAATAGCTAGCATTCATAATTTGTATATTAAACTTTTGTTATAAAGGACAACAGTTAGATTTTGCTCCAAAATTTTAAGACAAAAATTTTAAGAATTGTTATGCTTTGCATAAAGATCAATGCATTAAAAAAATTGACCAAGTTCGCATCATTAAGTTTAAACTTCTTATCAATATCTTTTCTGTAAATCATAAGGTAGCGTGAGATAGTAACACCAACTAGAGCAACACAGTAAGACAAAAATATACTTTCATGATATTACTTCGACAATCTCTTAGGTAATGTTGTAATTATTCAATCGACAAAGGGTACAGGTTATTCTCAGGAAGTTCAGAACACACGTTGTGTCAGCAATATTAGCTCACCTTTCATACCTCAATGATATCCTTACTTTTTAAGCTATTTATATGTAGTTCTCTGCCCAATAAGTTCAATTTTTTTGTTGCTTTATTCTCTTTCTTCTATCTTTGCAAGGAAAGAGTTCTTTCCTCTTTTAAGATTTCTGTCGTAAGTGGATTGTCCTAATGGATCCTGCTGAGTGCAATAATCTTATACAAGCTAAATGGATGTTTCAGGATTACATATTAAAACTTGTTCCATCTCTAGAGGTCATTATATTACAACTTAAGTAGTTTTTGAAATATATGCTGATAATGTTTATATCTTAGATTTCACTGTCTTGAAAATGCTCAACATTTTAAAAATAAAGCACATTTTACCTCTTTGCCTATTTCCTTTTTTGAGAGCACTAAAATTGCATCTTCTTTGTCTATGCTTGCTTGTCATCTGTCATCCTATAAAAACACACCCACATTCTAACGAAGAGTCTGTTTTACAAACCCATTCATACATATATGGTTTAGATAGAACATAAATCCTAGGAGAACAGAATCTTTCTTTGATTTGTTCTCTGATATATCCAGTCATCTAGAACTCTGTAAGTTTACAATAAAAGGGTGTTAAATAAACTCATCATTTACTTTTCTGCAAGACTGGTTCCTTCTCCTATTGTTCTTTAGATTATTAATCGAGACTGTTTCTCAAGATACCCCATGAAAATAAATAACATTATTTGAATTTATACCTTTCACAACAGTTGAGATCCACGTTAGTTTTAACATCAGATAAATTTAGCAGTCTTAGCTATATAATGTGACTTGCACATGAATTTAAGAGATTAGAAAAACAAAAGGCAAAAAATAGCCTAACACAGAAATGAACGCACACACTCGCGCACACACACACACATACAGACACGCACACGCTAGAGAGAGACATCTTTTAAAGCAAAAATTGGTTTTATATTCCTAATTCATTATCAGTTGTTTATCTAGACGTTACTTAATTTAGATATACTATATACGTATGACACTATGGTCCTCATGCTCTTGAATTAGTGTTTCTTAAATTGAGTGTGCATAGGAACTCCCTGGAGAGTACAAGTAAAATTCCTAGGTCCCCACCCTCAGAAATGTTGATTATGTAAATCTCAGGATGGGTCTGAGGTATTTTAAATGTTATGTTTGGAACCTGCTTGAGATAAATTTAGGCAAATTAAAAGACCAACATTCAATTAAACTTATAAACCTCTTCAAAAGTATTAACAAGTCATGGAATTTAAAAATAACTTAGTTTAAGGATAGCTGAGAAAATGTGTGATATGTCACCTCCAACCAATGCTATAGCCACAAGCACAAAATGTAATTAATCTATCATAATAGCATAACAATAAGCTTGGCCAATCATGATTCAAGCATGTGATACCTTAAGGCTCTTTTTGGAAATGGGAAAAATGGCTTCTAATTAGGACATGAAGAGACAGGTAAATAAAGCCATATGTTAGTATTTGAAACATTTAATAACAATTATTAAACACCATGAAATTGTGATCATAAATTCAAAATTGGAAGTTTTAATGTGAGTGGTAACCTACTTTGAAATTATTGTTGCTAGAAATGCTGATTAGATACTTAAAATTAGGAAGGCACTTCAAGAAAATCACTTTTATTCATTTCTTAGTTCATTTAATAATATTTTGGAAAATTGTGCTTAATGAGGTGCTCGAAGATTTTACAAAATTATCCTGCTACTTATATCTTTTTTTATTAATGGGAGAGTGTTTTTACAATCCCCTGAAGTAAAACTGTTCTGTAATTTCAGTGACTTTCAAAGAAATACCCCTTGATTCATTGGGTCCTTTGATATTAATGAAAAACAGAACATTAAATAATGCTTCACAAGTGTTCATGATTCATTTAAATATAAATACATGTTTTCAATCATATAAGTTCCAAAATTGCATAATGGATTATCCAAATTAATACAAAAATTGTTTATCACAACAGAATATGAGTGCTTTCAGAAATAAATGCAAATGTATTATACTTTTTCTCACTGTAAAAATTATATGAAGAAAAGACACAGAAATAAGCTTGAGCCAATGAGTTAATGCTCCTACAAAAAGGGAATTAGTGTGAATGATGAATGCATATTTTAATAAAAAGACAAATTGCCATAGGTCCTGAAAATATCAGAGATGAAATAAAGCGTTAAGTCAGAATGCTTTATTCTGTCATCATGGAAATCATATTGTTCTACTAAACAAGAACATTACAGTAAGTGAGACAGTTGACATCTTTCACAGGATTTTAGTTCCTTTGAATCAGATCTACGCTTAACACTTTTAAATAACTCCTTAAGAAAAAAGTGAATTTATTAAAGCTGTATTTTGTTCGTTTAGATATTTCCTTGGAATAACAGTTGAGAACATATCTTGAAAGTTCAAAAGACTCAGATGCACCACCTCAAATTTGTGACAGCAACGAAAGTGTGCATGAAATTGGCTCACACTACATATTACAGATGATCAGTGCATTGAATACACATAACTTGGCCAGTGTGGCTAAAAGACTTGGAACTGCACTGGTTAACAAAACTTCATCTTTTTCTGACCTCCTTTAATATAAGAAAACCTAATTATTATAATAATTTCTCTATAATAATGGAAACATGCTTATTTATTGTATGGTTTCCAAAAGGCCATTTAAATTTATCACCAGAAATAGCCTGTGAGTTAGTGAGGGCAACTTATGTTAATATTCAAATGCTACTTGAGGAGACTCCATAGCATGTCTAGAGAGTAAAAATAAGCAGAGGTGCTGGCTTTAGGCCAGATCTTCCAATTAACATGCATGTGTGTGCACACGCACACACTCACACACACTTTTATATCAGAATGAGGAAACACATTCTTGCCAGAAGGCCTCCTTTAAGGCAGACATTTCCTATAAGAAGTAACATATCTAGAAACTGAATTACAGATGAATGTAATAAGACCGAGCAGCTGTTGTCCTGTAGAGAAAAACTATACAGTATTTCTATTTAATGTTGTATGTCAATGTAGAAATTTTATATTTTTAACAAATGATCTTATTATATTAGGAGTATAAGCAAGATAATAGTAAAGAACGAAAGAGTATTCAAAATTATTTAGAGCCTACAACTGCACCCATGAAAGCTGCCTTCATAGAGAATCTGTATACAATTAGCAGAGTGAAGGCCCCAGATGCCTCCGACAGAGAAATACTGAGAAAAGAATAGAGCATGAAAGTAAAATTTCACTTGTTTTACAATGTTACTCAGGGTATTTGTCAATACTGGTAAATTTTAAATGGATATTAACCATCTCCTTACTTGGATTCAGAAATAAAGTTCTGTGTTTTATGTTAGAAAAGAAATAGTTTACTGTAGGAAACGTGTGGCAGCAAATCTGGCCACTCTGCTAGCTTGCAGATCTTATTGATGTCATTTAGTCTGCCTGGGACTCAATTTATTTTCCTGTAAATTGGAGAGAGCAATATACATCTCACAGTTTATTGAAGATTAAGTAGAATAATGAGTATAAAAGTGCTTACTAAATTCTGTAATCCTATGCATGGATTATTATTATGAGGAAAAAAAGAGCATATGTGTGACAGTTTTCGTGTTACCAGAAAGATCCAACATAAGGCAGGGTTATGTGAGAAGTATGGGAGTTAAATTGTTATCTTTGATACTTCTTCCCAGGATCAAGCAGGCTCTTTGAAATACCTAAAGAAGAAAATAAGGCCGGGCAAGACATATGAAGGGACGTTATTCTATGCTCAACCTGTTTCTTAGCTGTAAGAGCCCGTCTTAGAGACTTCTTAGAGATAAAACTGACAGTTTCTGCTGGGAAAGTAATTGTAACATGGAAGAAGTGTGAATGCTGACCTAAGCGATCTTCAACTCAGTTCGTAGTGCAATAGGCAAGTATAGTCCAAAATGGAGCACACAGTCAATTTCTTCCTTCAGTAGTTCTAGGCAGTGAGGCATACATTCATTTCTTTATATAAATTTTAAATTGTTCAAGTATGAATTCTTCTGAGGGTTAGGAAAATAGACTTATAATTCAATTTTTTTACTCTTTGATTACACCTAAGATTATTTTTTCACTCTTTCCTCCAATTATTTCCCCAGTGATTATTATTTTTGTTCATCAGTTGATTACTTGGTCAAATCTGGAAATAAATACATAGTATCTGGGGATTGTTCCATGAACTGTAATCATTATTTCCCCCCCTTAATTTCGTTTCTTACATTCTAAAATTACCTAATTGTCACATAGAAGTAATATTTACAATATTTTGAATAAACATAAAAATAACGATACAGCATGATGACTAGAGTTACTAATAACGTATTGTACTCTTGAAATTTGCTAAGGGAGTAGATAGCAAGTTGAGAACTTGTTTTACACAAAAAAGGTAACTATGTAAGGTGATAGATATGTAATTAATTTGATTATGGTAATCATTTCACAATGTGTATGTATATTGAAATATCACATTATACAACTTAAATATATATAATTTTTATTTGTCAATTATCTCAATAAAGTTGGGAGAAAAAAGAACCAGATTTTATTTATATTAATCAGGTTTTTAATCAGAGATTCACATATTTTTATCATGAATGTCATATTATTTGTCGAAGCGTATCTTTCTTCCTGGTCCTGATAATGTACAAAAGGAGTCCTGATCCTTTTGTACCAGTTGTTTCATAGGCTATGTCTGTCATGCTAGGCAGTTTGCTGGGTGTTGTGAATTCAAGGTGAATGAGTAAAGACACACGCCCTGCCTTCACTGGGCTTTCATTCTAGGATGGAAAGTTCTGGGAGAAATTTTACATATTAAGAAAAGCAGTTCAACGGGATGTATACCACTGAGGCATTTGTTGTCACTTTAAAGTATTCTATCATGACTTGGGCTATTAGAAGTTCTTCCTGAGGGCTGGAGAACTGAGGCCTAATGTTTAACAAATGTGAAGAGTAGAAAATGGGTTGGGTCTAAGGAGTGGCTCCTTAAAGCATTAGTTTTAAGAATTCACTTATTCAAGAAAGGGGATTCCTGAGAGATAACCAAAAGATAGAATTAGTTTGTGAGAGAAACGGACTTCTGGTAGTATGATTGTATTTGTCTTGCTGTCAGGAAGATTACACATTTCTGAAAAACTGCTTTTATAGAAAGGAAATTATATTTTATCACGTTTTACTTATAAAATGGTTTGTCTCATTGTTTTACCTAATATTCTTAAAAGTAGTTCTCAGTTTGGTGTCAGTTTTCAAAGTCTGCTAACTATCAATTAATTATCAACAACAAGGTAAATACAGCAATTGAAACTAAATATTTAGATACTTTTATAGAAATGTAAACATGCCACAATCAATTTATATTTTATAAAATATTGGTCTACAAAGAATTAAAAATAAACATACAGAAAATAAAAAGCATTCTTTTCCACTGATGGTTTCGATAGCTGAACACTATTGCTATACATAGTCCAAAATGTATTAAAAATAGATAAAACCAGTCAACAGTTTTGTGGAACCCCCACATTTTATTTTGAAATTTATCAGAAAAACATAATTGGATGTCCCAAATGTACACTTCATAACTGTAGGTTTCGAATAGTCACCTGTATCTTCATGTTAACTATCTACTAGCACTTTTGAATTCCCTTCATGACAATCTCACCTGTGTGTTAATATTACATATCTACTAACACTTTTAATTTCAACCACATGGCAACATAAGAAGCCTAGGAACAGACCTACAGCAAATACTTTAACATTTGGGAAAAGTATAATAAAAATATTTAATATATTACCAAACTCATAAAATATAAAGGATGATCTAAAATTTACCCTACTCAATTCAGAAGCTAAAAGAAAACTGAAAGTTAGGCAAGTTAGCTAATGTGGCAACATCCATATCTGGGTTATTAGACCAGAAAAAAATGTCCTAACAGCTAGATAATGGGAGTTACGTAAATCATCTTATTTTCATTGCTTTGACTCATAAGAACTTAAGAATTTACGTCTTTCCTCACTTAGCATTGTTGATATAATTTTCTCTCAACCTATGTATCAATTATTTCAAATTTATCCTCTATGAGATTTTTTGTCTCATTATACTTTTGCTATCCTCTATGAGATTTTTTGTCTCATTATACTTTTGCTATGAGTTTTTTTACTAAGCCATTTCATCACCTTTCTATAACTAGTCAGCAGACAAAAACAATATTCGTAAACATTTATATCTATCCTTGCTGACATGCTACAAAAAAGGCCTATTTTAAATTATTTCTTAATTTAATGGCAACTATAATGTTTGATGAAAACAAACTCCCAATCATTCATTTCTATATTACCCCAACTTACAGCCTGCTTTTAAATTAAAATAAACTAAACTTGCTTTTGAGTAATGGTGTGCCCAATTTCCATGTCTGTTAAACTTCTACTTTAAGAATAATTAGTATGTGTTGTAATAAATTTAGTGGAAATAAGCATACGGAATACTGAATTTGCTGACTTGAAAGTCCAATCTTTATGCCGAAATTATTAGCGTTTGTTTCTAAAGCGACGAGAAAGCATGTACCTTTTTCATCCCCCATGTCATTACAGAACAATGGTTTATTTTCTGCTTCACAATTCCTTGGGCTGAGCACCAAATGTGATTTGTTGAAAGTATATTTTCTTCATTTTCTGTTAACGATCCTTTCCAGTATCTCCACTGTACAGACTATATTAATCTCATTCTATTTATTGCATTCTATTTTTATGTTATAATCCAGCCTGTTAAACTGCATTGAAGGGCTTATGATTCTTGTCCTATAATAATTCTATCTGTTTTTTACCCTATATTACCCAGTAATTTGACTCTCCCATTTTTTCAGCCTTTTCATTTTTGTTTGTTTTAATGATTCTCCTAAAGAAGACTAATAGAAACAAAAGAAAAATAAATCTTTGCAGCCACATTTTATATTATAACTTACTCAAAAAAGGGCTAATAACCATCACTAATTATTGCTATTCACAATTGCCCCATTGCTATTTGCAACAAAGTCTGTGCTGACGTCTCAACTCTTATAATCTTAGCTTTTGTTGTGGATGTTTATTCAGTTTTTTCTTTATTTTGATTTTACTGTTGTTCGGTATTGCATTCTATATTTGCTGTCTATTGCTCAGGTGCTCTAACATTTTCAAGATTTTTCTTATCATCTTTAATATACTCTTTATTCCTCCTTCAGTTACCCAACAGATACCAAAATGATCCCGAGCTCTGAAGTTCTGAGCTCAGAAATGTGTTTGCACAGCATAGATGCATTAGATCCTGTTCAGCAATAGAACTGGAGAAATACCACAGTAAAGCAGATGTGACGAGCCCACCAGACAGTAACAAGTGCAAACTTCCTCCCAGGTTCCTAGTTGAGTATGTTTGTGCCAGGTCATTACAGTATCACTTCTTTTCCCACTTAATATGTTTCTTTCCTCCTTTTATCTTTGTTAAAATATTTTGGTACTTCATTGTAACTCTATTAGAATAAAGGAATACTTGCTTTATATTTGTATGCAGTTCTTTCCAGATTTAACGAAATGGCCTGTAGATGTTCCTGATAATTTTCTCCACTTTACAATATGTCTTTAGAGAGGGATCACACTATTTCAGAAGATATTTGTAAAGTACTTTAAGGACTTTGAAATAAAGGTGCCCCAAAGATAATGAGATGATTTTATTCTAAACTACTCTGAAATGTGATTTTTCCATTCTTTCCCCATCAAGTGAAAATCAAAATATGTCTTAACAAATTTGTGAGAGGATTATGTCAGAATGCCTTCGTATGACCAGTCTAACATTCTTGTACATGGAATTGTATCATAAATACCAAAAAGGTAAGGGGCTATTGATCTCATGTTTTCTTTCCTTCTCCTGCCACACCTTCTCTTTTTAGATGAATTTATTTACTCTTCCTTTAGTCTTCCTTCTCTTTATTATATAAAACAATATGAGGCAATTTGTAACATTTTCAAAAATTTTACTAGAAGTCCCCATGTCAGAAGAATCACTGTTTTTGTAAAATGCATGATATATTCACTGATTAATGCATGTATATACCAGGTCTTGGGATCCCACAGCAAATGCAATGTTGTGATCTCCATGACAACTCCAAGGTATTCTTATTTCAGTGTCCAAATTTGAAATTCCTGGACATGTCTTATCTAAGTCATCTGCATCATATAAGACAAGGACACAATCAACCTATGGTGGAATGCTGAGAAAAATATGAAGTTTGCTCATATAGAACCACAGATGTGGTTTACTCTGCTGAGACTTCAACATAATGACTCCTAAAAATTAAGATGTAAGCACAAGCCCTATCTTGTGTAATTATCTGGTTTAATTCATCCCAAGCGCTATCTTGTCTATCTTGTGTAATTAATCCCAAAAGCTCAAAATAGGGCTTGATATATACTAGGAGTCAATAAAATATATACTAAATTTTATAATCGAAAGGAAAAATAGTTTATTTAAAGAGGAAAAAAATACTTTGAATCCAGAATCCTGCAATGTAACATTTTAAGAATGTTAGTGGGAAGCTTATGGGCCAAGACTTTTTTGGCTTTTAACAAAGAAAATGTTAGTCATGCTTTAATAGAGCAATACAAGATTTTTTTATATTAGCGAAGTCTCCAAAATATGCAACTTATATGGGTTTAATTTCTTTTTAATACTCAAAGTTCCTTGATATCTAAACAAATGCAAAGTCTTAACAAATGTGGTTTTAACAGTGGGTTCATTCAAAATTTTAGAAACGAGAAAACACAAATCTATCTAAAAATCTCTCATGAAAATATAATCCAAAATATGAGAAAAGTAATGAGATAAACATTTTATTCAGAAATACAAGATTAAATAAAGCAAATTTTCTCACAAGACCTATTTAACTAACAGCAATACAAGGAGTCTGGATCTTTGTTTGAAAAGTAGAATCTGTTAGGATATTTTAAGTTGACTATACAATACATATATTTACTAGTATGTATATTTACTTTGCTGACTTGATAGACAAGACTTGAATAAGTTCTGTGACTTGCCTTCATGGAAACTGTATTGGAGACAATTTTAGACTACTTAATTTAAATAGTGAAAATCTCGTTTCAAACTTCAGGTTCAAATGTGCCACAGACCCCTCACACACTCATTGGTGAAATTCTGTAATTGGAAACTGTAAAGAAAACTCACATTTATGTGGAGCGACTTTTCTGCTTACTGTAAAACAATGCCTTGTATAAAAAAGAATGCTCTAAGAAAACCAGCCCAGACTTACTGGATTTGCTGAACAAAGAAAGCCTGTGGGGAGATGTAGATGAGCTAGCATAGTTTTTAGGACAAGTCTAGAATAATTTCAAAATACAGAAGGCTTGCTTTTGTTACCCCAGATCTCTTTTAGTTATTAACACTACTGTCAGCACTTTGGAAGGGAGGATCTCTTAGGCTCAGAAATCTGAGACCAGCCTGGGCAAAATAATGAGACCTCGTCTTTCTGAAAAATTTTAAAAATTAGCCAGGCATGGTGATGCACACATTTAGTCCCAGCCACTTCAGGGACTGAGGAGGGAGAATGGTTTAAACTGAGCAGGACAAGGCTGCAATGAGCCATGATCATGCCATTGTACTCCAGCCTGGGCAACAGTGTGAGACCCTGTATTAAAAACAAAACAAAACAAAAACCACTAACTTTCACCATTTGTTTTGAACCCATGAGTGTTCATAGGTAAACCTTTTTTTCTTGGCAGTGTTGTGTGCTCCAGCATTTTTTAAAAGTAAACTCTGGGGACTGTTGTGGGGTGGGCGGAGGGGGGAGGGATAGCATTAGGAGATATACCTAATGCTAAATGACGAGTTAATGGGTGCAGCACACCAGCATGGCACATGTATACATATGTAACTAATCTGCACATTGTGCACATGTACCCTAAAACTTAAAGTATAATAATAATAAAAAAAGAAAAAAAAGTAAACTGTATCCTACTTAATTTTTTAAAGATCTTATCCATTAAAAAATAAATTTTTCAATAAATTCATAGCTATAATGATAATAATTATTATTTTTTTAAGATGGAGTTTCGCTCTTGTTGGCCAGGCCAGAGTGCAATGGTGCAATGTCGACTCACCGCAACCTCCGCCTCCCGGGTTCAAGTGATTCTCCTGCCTCAGCCTCCCTAGTAGCTGGGATTACAGGCATACACCACCATACCTGGCTAATTTTGTATTTTTAGTAGAGACAGGGTTTCTCCGTTGATCAGGTTGGTCGCGAACTCCTGACTTCAGGTGATCCGCCTGCCTTGGCCTCCCAAAGTGCTGGTATTACAGGCGTAAGCCACTGTATCTGGCTTATCATTAATATTTCATTTTGCTTCTCTTAATTTTCTGTCCTTTCTTCCTTCCTTCCGTCCCCCCATCTTTCTCTGCATCATTTTTACCACTCTCCCTCTCTCATTTACTTTCTCTCTCATTTTTCCCCCTTCCTTCTTTCTCTGCCACCATTTTTTCCTTTTTTTCCTTCCTTCCTTTCTCCCTGCTAAGTACCAAACATATTCAGGTAACTCATGAATCATTAAAGTATAATAAATGCAAAAACAGAAGAACTAAAGTGTTAATGACAGGAAAGAAAGTATATGAGTTATTGTTGGGGAAGAGGAGTAATTGAAAGCTTCAAAACACAAAATAATTTAGATAGATCTTCAGGAATATGTAGGAGGTCAATGAGTCTGCTGATAGAAAATTCAGCCAGGGGGAAATTTTTAAAGTCAAATAGGTGTGAAACATTGAAGCTCATTACAAAGTTGAGAAAAATAAGCTGTGAAGTGTAAGGAGGGCGGGATAAAAACCATAGTAGTAGAAGACACTATGATTAATTTATGAACAGGCTTCTCTGCAATGTTAGGTGCTAAAGCTAGTTTTTCTCATTATAATAATGAAGGTCATACTTGTACAATACTCAAGTATTATGGATTAAAAAACACAATATATCCAAAGCTTTCAAAGAGGTGATTCACAGTAACACTACATAAACATTGGGTCTTCCATCTATGTGCTAATTAGAAATTAAACGTCCTATCAAAAGAAGTGGATCTTCTCCACCCCATTATAAAAAGCTTATTTTTCTCTGTGAGTATATTGCAAAATATACACAAATATGTGTGTGTGTATATATCCCATATGGTACCATAATGTACATTATGTGTTTGGAACTACTATATCATCTATAATTCATATATTTTTTACTTAACAGCTTTTGTTGTCATTTTTACGTCAGTGCATATTTACATGCATGCCGTTATTTTCATATATCATTTAACCAATCATCTGTTAATGAATATCTGAATCATGTCCAAATTTTTACTATTTTAATCAATGTCACATTTTAGTTTTCTAATACAATGAAAGACAATAAGCTTTTCAAATGTTTGCTAACTCTTCCTTCATTTATCTTTCTACATTATGCTGATGTTGACAAGGACTGATATCCTGGCTGATTTGAACGGCTGGTAAAATAAATGAGCAATTTTAGTATTAATATGTATTATCAGTTTAGCCTCTCATACTAAGTAAATACAATATGTTTCCAAAATATTTATCAGGGTAATTGAGAAAAATACGTAAATATCATTGAAATTTTCATGACTTCGTTATTGAGCTTGAAATATATTTTCTGTTAGCTTGCCTTTCTACTTTTTTATTCCATTTTTAAATTTCGTTATTTTTTTTCTAATTGATTTGTAAACACTCTTTGTCCAGCGACAACATTAGCCAGAGCTTTCTAAACAGTGAAGTGAAGCACTCCAGGGTTTCATGAATACCACGGGATGCCAAGAAATCGAATCAGAGTTACAGTTCAGGGTTTCTCACTACCAGCTGAGAGTATCATCTTCTGTTTATCCTAGTCTGACAGGTGATATAATTCCAATACCACTTTTATCTGTGCTGTGATGTAAAAAATTTCAAAAAGTACATCTTGGATGGTCGTGATGGCTCACACCTGTAATCCTAGCACTTTGGGAGGCCGAGGCAGGTGGATCACCTGAGGTCAGGAGTTTGAGACCAGTCTGGCCAACATGATGAAACCCCATCTCTACTAAAAATACAAAAATTAGCTGGGCTTGGTGGCAGCCACCTGTAATCCCAGATACTCGGGAGGCTGAGGCAGGAGAACTGCTTGAAACCACGAGGCAGACGTTGCAGTGAGCCAAGATCGCGCCACTGCTCTCCAGCCTGGTTGACAGAGGGAGAATCCCTCTCAAAAAGAAAAAGAAAAAGAAAAAAAAAAAGAAAAGTACATCTTACAAATGTATTACAGATCATGTTTTTATTTGCAGATTTAAACTTACTTATACAATTTTGCTATGTTTCTTAGTTTTTAGGTACATTTACCATCTCTTCTATAACTTAAGAAGTAGTAAAAGTGGTACAGACTATAATCCCAAGCTAATAAAATGTCAGTATTAAATAAAGAGTAAGGACCAAGTAATAACAAAACTAAAAAAGATATTACTAATAATGATCATTTATTAAAGAAGGTTCAGGGAAGTAAAGAAAAAATGGAAAAGGCAGCTAAAGAAGTCAAATGAATCCATGTATTCCACAATTTTAAAGCACTTATGTACCTAAATATTAATTAACATTAATTAACATTAATTGCAATTTAATCCATACAAGAATTCATTTTTTTTCTAGTAAGAATAGTGAAGACACATTATTTGTTCCTTCAACAAATGTTTATTGAGTGCCTGGTCTATTCCAGGTACCATTCTGGAGGTAAGGGATTCAGCCCCTAATAAAAAATAAGCAAATTTATCTTCCATTAAGCTTAATTTCTAGTAAATGGAGACATACTATACAAGTCTAAGAAATAAAATTTGTGGTACATCAGATGGCAATAAGTGTTATAAAGTGAAATAAAACAAGGAGGGTGATTAGGAATAATTGCCAGAGTGAAGGAAGCATGTAGGGAATATTTTTAAATAGGGTCGTGAGAGTATTTCCCCTCCCCCAATTTGGTTAACAGAAGGTAGTTACTGATCTTCATAAAAAAAGTATTATGATGTTGGTGGTGCAAGTCAATGCAAATATGTGTATGCCACTAGAGAAGAAGCAGAGAGGCAGAGAACTAGAGCAAGCAGAAAACACATAAAAGTGTCAGTTATGACCAGGAGAGAAATGACGACAGAGATGAAAGCGATCATACGCCTAAGGGAGAAGTTTTGTTTGTTATTTTTGCTTTAGTTTAATTTGGGAAAACTTCAAAATGCTGTTCAGCTGAACCAAGAGCCAGAAAATGAATAATTAATGCAAACTGGACTCTGGATGAAATGTGAGAAGAAAGGATAAAGAGCCTGAAACTCTCACAGCAGGCAACTGGAAGTAATAAAAAGTGTATGCTGAGAAAAAGGTACAGGTGTTTTACTAAAATAAATGGCTTAAAGTGAGTTGCAAAGATTGGAAATATATCATGAAGGGATTGAATGGATCAAAAAAGAATGGAAAAAATGTCTAAGATCAAATAAAGTTTTCAGTTGTCTCTAAGAACTCATTTCAAAATTGTTATTATTTATTATTATTATTTTACTGGGCAGTCACTTAAAAGCTGATTCTTTATTATTTGTTTTGGAAGTCCTGGCTCAGTAGCCTGTTTGCAGCCCAGTAACATTAAATGAATGAATGAATGAATGAATGAATGAATGAATGAGTGAATGAACGAATGAATGAGTGAATGAATGAATGAGTGAATGAATGAATGAAATACACCTTAATGTGCTCATTCAAGTAGAAGCAATGTGTACACTAAATTCTCTTTGCCAAAGGAACTTGCCTAATATAGGATAAAGAGGTTCAGGAAAAATAACTAATGACTACTAGCCTTAGTACATGGATGAGGAAATAAGCTATACAACAAACCCCCATGACATAAGTTTACCTGTGTGGCAAACCTACACATGTACCCCTGAACTTAAAAGGGAAAAACAAAATAAAACAAACAAACAAAAAAGAAAGAAAGAAAAAGAAAAAGCGTGAAGGCATTTTGTTTGGACCATGTAAATTCTTTGAATACTTTAGATCATACCACAGAGACCCAAAGATATTTTTATCTTTCTCCCGGTATATTTTAGGGGGGTTCCCACTCCCCACTCGTTGCGTTTCCATGAGGAAACTCTACTCGTCTCCCCAGGAGATTAGAATCTTTGTGTGGTAACTTCAACCCTACTAGACCCCTCCATCTTTTGAGGCTCATCTTTCCTTGTCATTACCAAGAGGGCTTTACAGGAGTTAGGCGGTAATTGCTTCCAGCAGCTAGCCAGAAAGCTATCTGCTTGGCAATCTCCCTATTAGCAGGTAACTATCACAAGGACCAAACAAAAAGGCAAATTAAAGAAGGCTGAACCTGGCCACATGACAGTAATTCAACTTAAACAGTAATAAGCCACACAGTTGGCCCTACTTACTCATGGGTTCAGCAGATTCAACCAATCATGGATGAAAATATTTTAAAATGAAAATAAAAATAATGCATTAAAAAACAGTACAACAACCATTTACATAGCACTTACATTCTATTAGGTATTATAAGTAATCTAGAAATGATTTAAAGTATACAGGAGGATGTATCTAGGTTATATGCAAATACTATGTGATTTCATATCAGCGATTTGAGCATCTGCAGATTTTGCTATCTGCAGGGGTCCTGGAATCAAACCCCGCAGATACTGAAGAATGGTTGTATATACACACACACACACACACACACACACACACACATATATATATATATATACACACACACACACATACACACATGCATATATATTTATATGCACATAAGCACATAATTACCTATATTATATATACTATTCATATGTAAACCTATATAATATGTAGGGTAAATATATTAATATAATAAACGTTCATATACATTTATCTATGCATTTTTATCATCACTCTAATTCCAGTAGTAAATATTTTTCAATTGCTTTTCAACTCAGACGGGATGCAAGGAGTTTGACTTACATTAACTTTATTATTACATTTTTTCCTTTCATTCATATAGACAAGCCAAAATTCACGGTAATTATATTTTGTACCTAACTGTGGTGGTATATTATTTTTAAATGTGAAAAGAAATTAGAGTTGTATGTATGCAACATAATTTTACTAACGATTGGTTATGACCATCATATCATTCAACATTTTATTTAAAATTGTTTCTACTGATCCGTGAAAGTTTACTTTGAACTTTAGAAAATAGATTCACAAAGAAATACTGTGTTCAGCTTTAAAATTCAGCAGAATCGGTTACGTGCATCCAACCAACTGATTTATTTGGAAATGCATGGATGGTCATGTTCTTTAAGAAGGCTCTGGTAGTTCATACATAGAGGAAGCTTGTTGAGGAGGTCAGAAGCCACACTTTCACTTATTGATTTCCTGCACATGGATATAAGTTCACATGTAGATATAAGTTCACATTAAGATTTCAAGATTCTACATGTTCATCTAAAATGTTTACAAAGCTCACAACATGCTTTCATAGTTTCAATAAATTATTTGTGAATTAGTATAGAAATATGGCCCTTATTTTAGTGCATTTTGGTAAATCAGATTACGGAAGAGGTATTTTACTTCTAAAACAGCTGATTTATTTCATTACTGGCAAAGGTGTTGTGAAGAACCTAGCACGTTATACAAACTTGGCACTGAAGAAACTTGCTGTCTTAGAATAGATCACAGAACATTATAGTCAGATCTCTGTCCCTTTGCAGTCTACATCCTTGTGGGCTGATACATACAGTAAAACATAAACATAACAAATAATAGTATTTTAGAAGGCAATAGGTTTATGGAAGATAAAAATGTAGCATAGGTTCTGTTAAAAGGAATTGACAATGCTGGATGTGAGGCTGGGGTTTGAGGAGGGTTGTCAGGGTAGAAGGTGAGGTTTGGTCAAAGACTTGGAGGAAGTCCAGGCATAAAGCCTGGGCTATCAGCAGAATGTTCCAGGCAATAGCTAGGGCAAAGTCACAAACGTCAACACTTACAAGATATATTACTGAAATAGGAGGAGGCCAGCAGCAAGGCTGGGGCAGAGAGAAAGAGAGTGAGATGAGATGAGGTTAAGAGTCAACCAGATCACATAGGGTTTTTTAGGTCAGTTAGTCAGTTGAAGAGTAGCCCCCAAAGAAATGTCCACTCACAACCTCTGAATATGACCTTATTTGTAAATATCTTCTTTGCAGATGAAACTAAGTTAAGGATTTTAAGATGAGATCATAATGGATTTAGAGTCGGCTCTAAAATCAATGACTAGCGTGGCTAATCGTCCTTAGAAGAAGAGGACAAAACACAGTTCTACCATTTGATAGCTGTGTGATCTCGGCCAGCATATTTACATTTGTAAACAAAGTTTTCTTGGACTTGTTTTTTTTTTAGTGGTAATTTATTTATTGCCATTTCAATCTTGCTGCATGTTACTGATCTGTTAAGGGTATCTAATTCTTCCTGATATAAGCTAGGAAGTTTGCATCTTTCCAGGAATGTATCTATCTCCTCTAGTTTTCTAATTTGTGCACATAAAGGTATTCATAGTAGTCTTGAACGATTTTTTGTATTTCTGTGGTGTCAGCTGTAATATCTCCCATTTCATTTCTAATTGAGCTTATTTAGATTTTCTTTCTTCTTTTCTCGGTTAATCTGGCCAGTGGTCTCCAAGACCAGACAGATTCACAGCAGAATTCTGCAAGACATTCAAAGAATTGATATCAATTCCATTGACACTATTCCCACAAGATAGAGAAAGAGGGAATCCTCCCTACATCATTCTATGAAGCCAGTATCACCCTAATACCAAAACCAGGAAAGGACATAAACAAAAAAGAAACCTACAGACCACTATCCCTAATGAACATAGGTGCTAAAATCCTTAACAAAATACTAGCTTCCTGTATCCAACAACATATCAAAAAGATAATTCACCATAATCAAGTGGGTTTCATACCAGGGATGCAGTAATGGTTTAACATATACAAGTCAATAAATGTAATACACCACATAAACAGAATCAAAACCAAAAATGACATGATCATGTCATCAGATGCAGAAAAAGCATTGGACAAAATCCAGCAAACTTTATGACGAAAACTCTCAGCAAAATCTGCATACAAGTGACCTATTTCAATGTAATAAAAGCCCCGTATAACAAACCCACGGCCAACATAATACGGAATGGGGAAAAGTTGAAAACGTTCCCTCTGAGAACTGGAATGAGACAAGGATGCCCACTCTCGCCACTCCTCTTCAACACAGTACTTGAAGTTCTAGTCAGAGCAACCAGACAAGAGAAAGAAATAAAGGGCATCCAAATCGGAAAAGAGAAAGTCAAAATGTCGTTGTTTACTGATAATATCATTGTTTATCTAGAAAACCCCAAAGACTCCTCCGTAAAGCTCCTAGAACTTACGTAAGAATTCAGCAAAGTTTCCGGATACAAAATTAATGTACACAAATCAGTAGCTTTTCTGTACACCAACAGCGACCAAGCTGAGAATCAAATCAAGAACTCAACCCCTTTACAACAGCTGCAAAAAATTAAAATACTTAGGAATACACCTAACCAAGGAGGTGAAAGACCTGTACAAGGAAAACTACAAAACACTGCTGAAAGACATCATAGATGTCACAAATTGAAACACATCCCATGCTCATGGATGAGTAGAATCAATATTGTGAAAATGACCTCACTATCAAAAGCAATCTACAAATTCAATGCAATTGCCATCAAAATACCACAACCATTCTTCACATAATGAGGAAAAACAATCCTAAAATTCATATGGAATCAAAAAAGAGCCTACATAGCCAAAGCAAGACTAAAGAAAAAGAACAAAGCTGGAGGCATCACATTACCTGATTTCAAATGATACTATAAGATCTTATTCACCCGAATAGCATGGTACCAGTATAAAAATATGCACATAGACCAAAGGAACAGAATGGAGAACCCAGAAATAAATCCAAATACTTAGAGCCAAGTGATCTTTGACAAAGCAAACAAAGACATGAAGTGGGGAGAAGACACCCTATTCAACAATTAGTGCTGGGAAAATTGGCCAGCCACATGTAGGAGAATGAAACTGGATCTTCACCTCTCACCTTATACAAAAATCAACTCAAGATGGATCAAGAACTTCCATCTAAGACTTGAAACTATAAAAATTCTAAAAGACATCAGAGAAACTCTTCTTGACATTGGCTTAGGCAGGAATTTCATGACAAAGAACCCAAAATCAAATGCAATAAACATAAAGATAAATAGCTGGGACTTAATTAAATGAAAGAACTTTTGCACGGCAAAAAGAACAGTTAGTAAAAAGACAACCCACAGAGCGGGAGAAAATCTTCACAATCTATACATCTGACAATGGACTAATATCCAGAATCTACAACCAACTCAACCAAATTAGCAAGAATAAAACAATCCCATCAAAAAGTGGGCTAAGGATATGAATACACAGTTCTTAAAAGAAGATACACCAATGGCCAACAAACATATGAAAAAATGCTCAACATCACTAATGATCTGGGAAATGCAAATCAAACCACAATGCGATATCACCTTACTCTTGCAAGAATGGCTATAATCCAAAAATTAAAAAAAATAATAGATGCTGGTATGGATGTGGTGAACAGGGAACACTTCTACCCTGCTGGTGGGAATGTAAACTAATATAACCACTACGGAAAACACTGTGGAGATTCTTTGAAGAACTAAAAGTAGAACTACCATTTGATCCAGCAATCCCACTACTGGGTATCTACCCAGAGGAAAATATGTCATTATACAAAAAGATACTTGCACAGAGATGTTTATAGTAGCACAATTCGCAATTGCAAAAATGTGGAAAAACCCAAATGCCCATCGATCAACAAATAGATAAAGAAACTGTGGTACATACATATGATGGAATACTACTTAGCCATAAAAAGGAATGAAATAATGGCATTTGCAGTGACCTCGATGAGACTGGAGACTATAACTCTAAGTGAAGTAACTCAGGAATGGAAAACTAAACAACCTATGCTCTCATTCATAAATGGGAACTAAGCTATGCATATGCAAAGGCATAAGTATGACACAATGGACTTTGGGGACTCAGGGTAAAGGGTGAGAAGGGGGTGAGGGATACTGCAAATTGAGTGCAGTGTATACTGCTCGGGTGATGGGTGCACCAAAATCTCACAAATCCCTACTAAAGAACTTACAGCAGGGCGCATTGGCTCACGCCTGTAATCCCAGCACTTTGGGAGGCTGAGGCGGGCCGATCACCTGAGGTCGGGAGTTCGAGACCAGCCTGGCCAACGTGGTGAAACTCTATTTCTGCTAAAAATACAAAAATTAGCCAGGCGTGGTGGAGGGCAACTGCAGTCCCAGCTACTTGGGAGGCTGAGGCAGGAGAATCACTTGAACCCAGGAGGAGGAGGTTGCAGTAAGCCAAGATCGTGCTACTGCACTCCAGCCTGGGCAAAAGAGTGAGACTGTGTCTCCAAAAAAAAAAAAAAAAAAAAAAAAAAAAGCTTACTCATGTAACCAAACACCACCTGTTCTCCAATAACCTATGGAAACAAAACAAAACTAAAGAAAAAAAACATTGTTTCTCAAACTTAAAAATGAAAAGCAAACAACAAACAAAAAATATATGGCTTTCTTCAAGTATAAATAAAGGAATTTCACAAACATGTTACATATGTGGAAAATAAAATTGCAGTTATTCTTATTACAATTAGTATGCAACAAAAATATTAACATTTTATTGGGAAATGCTACCTGGGATTAAGCAACTGCAAAAAAGTTGCAGCTGCCCAAAGTTTGCCTGCAATCTGAATAAAGATAACATTTAAACAATACAATTGTTTTATTACTTGTCCGTTTAACACCTGTAGTGATTAAGTGTCCACTCTGTGCTAGATATTAGTGATATACGGATAATTAAGATACTTTGCCTTTCAGTAGGAACCACCACAATGAATTGTTTATTGCAATCATTTGGTAAGAACTAAAACTAGGTTATATGCAATGCATATTGGTGAGAAAAAGGAAAAAATCATCAACTCTACTGTGCTGAGATATCTGGAAAACTTCACTTTAACAACAGGTAGAAATGTAACTTACAAAATGAGTTGACCAAGGCCCCAAACTAATCTGCCATTATGATCTTCCATCATTGCATCTAATTTCTTGATGGATAATTCACTTAACCCTTTTCCTATTTAGAAAAAAAAATAAAAAAGGTGCAGCTTGTTGCCAATGCTCACATAATTTTACATAAACACGCTCTCTGAGGGTGAAGCAAATCTGATTTTCAATGTGAAAATAAAATATAAACATTGTTCTTGGAATTATTTCTAAGCAGTACTAACATCAGAATTGTCTGAATAAACTGAAATGTCCGTTTTGGAAAACACTGGATTCATCAAATGAATCTTCAGGCAACAACTGTTTGAGAATGATGTTAATGTCACCCATAGGAATGCTACATTTTCTAAGAGTTGACATTTTCAGTGATCAAGAATTACTATATTTTACCATGCAAAAGCTCTTTCGTTTAAGTCCCAGCTATTTATTTTTATTTTTACTGCATTTGATTTTGGGTTCTTGGTCATGAAATCCTTGCCTAAGCCAATGTGTAGAAGGGTTTTTCCGATGTTATGTTATAGAATTTTTATAGTTTTAGGTCTTAGATTTAAGTCCTTAATCCATCTTGAGTTGATTTTTGCATAAGCTGAGAGATGAGGACCCAGTTTCATTCTCCTACATGTGGCTTGCCAATGATCCCAGCACCATTTGTTGAATAGGGTGTCCTTTCTCCACTTCATGTTTTGTTTGCTTTGTCAAAGATCAGTTGGCTGTAAGCATTTGGGTTTATTTCTGGGTTCTGTATTCTGATCCATTGGTCTATGTGCCTATGTTTATACTAGCACTATGCTCTTTGGGTGACTGTGGCCTTATAGTATCATTTGAAATCAGGTAATGGGATGCCTCCAGATTTGTTCTTTTTGTTTAGTCTTGCTTAGACCATGTCGGCTGTTTTTGGGTTCCATATGAATTTTAGGATTGCTTTTCCTAATTGTGTGAAGAATGGTAGTGGTATTTTGATGGCAATTGCATTGAATCTGTAGATTGCTTTTGGCAGTGTGGTCATTTTCACAATATTGATTCTACCCACCCATGAGAATAGGATGTGTTTCAATTTGTTTGTGTCATCTATGATGTCTTTCAGCAGTGTTTTGTAGTATTCCTTGTAGGGGTCTTTTACCTCCTTGGCTAGGTATAGTTCCAAATATTTTAATTTTTTTTGCAACAGCTATTGTAAAAGAAGTTGAGTTCTTGATTCTCAGCTTGGTCACTGTTAGTTAGCTAGGCACGGTAACGCATGCCTGCAGTCCCAGCTACTATGGAGCCTGAGGTAGGACAATCGCTTGAGCCTAGGAGGTCAAGGCTACATGTAGTGAGCTGTGATCGTGCCACTGCACTCAAGTGGAGAGCAAGTCCTCACCAGACACCACATCTTTTGGGGAGTTGATCTTAGACTTCTCAGCCTCCAAAATGGTAAGAAATAAATTTGTGTTCATTATTTAAAAAAATAATTACCAATTTTGTTAATACTAAAACCAGAATGCTATAATTAGAATGATGTATTTTGCCCTCAAAGTCGATATACTAGAGCAATGCAAAAATATTAATAAAAGCGTGATATTTTGTGACAAAGTTATCTCAGGGCAAACGCTGCAGCTGCAATCACCACCGATATGGATTCTCAGGCAAACTGTAAAACGGTTAAATTTAATATCTTGCATATTGCCATTATATTATTCATGATGTTCCCTTTGCCTTGAATGTTCAACATCTCCTCACTCCTTTGTTCACCTATTAAAATCCCAATCATCATTTAGGGTTCATTTCAATAATCCCATAGTCTTAGCAGAATCTATTGTTCCAGTCTTTGATCTCCCAAGCACTTGTGCAACTGAAGCAATAGTCACATAGCATTAGTTTTAATTGTTTACACACATGGCTCCCTTCTCTTGAATTTTTTTCACTCCTGTTTGTTCTTATATCCCTTTACCCCAATCATGCGATCATATACTTATGTTAAAGTGAGATCAATGGAAATTTTTTCAATAAAGCAACTTCTGAGCCACGATAGTAAGTCAGCACAAAGATAGCATGGCCTATATCTACAATACTATAATATATATGTACAGATTCAAAAGTATTCTTTATGATACTAAACATTCAAAAGACTGGCATTAGATGCTGGAATATGGTGAAGTGTTTTATAAATCTCAAAGTAGACATTTGAATATGATTAATGAAATACACATATGACTAAACTGCAAATACGTGAACTTGTTAACTCATTGATGTGCTACACAATACTCAATCATCGTATTTATTTAACAGGGCTAGCCCATGCTCTAGCCAACATAAAAAGGCTTCAGTTTATTGTTATAAATATGTATCCTGTTGGGAGCATGTAGTACACTCCAAAGGGTAACTGAACAAAGAATAATGAAAGGAAAATTGCCAAAAGTGTTTCAATGCTCCTAGGACCAGCTAGGTATGGGGAAACATAAAGGAAGTAGGATTACTAAGCAGGTATTATTTCTCCTAACCCTGACCTATAGCCATGATGAGAGATGTGGCGTTGGATAGAGAAATGCAGTGGATGTCAAACTTCTGTCTAGCAGGAAGGGAGCGAGAGAATAAACACCGTGATGTTTCGATCCTCTGCCCCGACCTCTTGCCAGTGTTCCTATTGGCCAAATCCACTGGAAGCCAATGAGCCACGGAACTCGTGGCACAGACCCTGGCGATGAGCCTCTTGAATCACAGAGCAGGGAGGAGAAAGGAGAGGACAGATCTGTAAGAGCGAAGAATAATATTCAGCGCATATTAAAAGTAGTGAAATTTAAGGTTTGTGTTCTTTGTTCTTCGCATGAACTTTATTTTTTTCTGAGTTAGCAATCTTCTCCAAAATTAATAACAATACATTCAGGATAATCTAGCCCACTGTATGCAAAGTGTGGGCCATACACTTTTAAGACACTTTTAAGGGATTTGTGAGGTCAAAATTATTTTTATAGTGGTAGTAAGACCATATTTATCTTTTACTTGAGTTGTCATTTGCACGGATGGTGCAAAAGCAATGCTGGCAGTACCAAAGGCACAAGCACTAACCGTCCTAGTAGCCATTACATTCTTCACTGTTAGGATCCTGCAAGATGAAGTGTTTCTCTTTAGACTGTCATTCGCACTGCAGTAACAGTTACTAATTTCATTAAATCTTGACCTCTGAGTACACCTGTTTTTTAATGACAAGTATGGAATATTTGCAAAGCATTTCTGCTTTAGTACATTGGTGGTTTAGAGGAAAAGCACTTGTGTGATTTAGCTGAAACCTGAACTCACCACTTCTTTGTTGGAAAACTGACAAAATATGGTTATTCAGGCTTGGGATTTTATTAGAAATTTTCTAAAGAAATAAAGCTTTTCCCTTTGAGCTCAAAAACTGGCAGTATTTGTTGATGAAGATGAAAATCCAAACTTTTAAGCAAAAGCCAGAATTTTGAAATAGATTCATCCTTTACCAGGAGCGGGTTAGACTCCCAGAATTAAAATACTTTTCAAATGAGACTTTTGGTGATATTAGCATGTGATTTTTATATTATAAAATAGAATTTGTCAACATTTGGAAATTCTGCATGACTCGGAACACTGATATTTACAAAATTTTTAAAATTTCCAGTGAATAGGATTACAAAATCATGATTATGCAATGGATCTGGCAGAAAAGCAAGACAGACCAACGGATTTTAACGAAACCAATTCGAAAATATTTAATGAAATAATTTCTTATACCACATTGAAAGAAAACTTTAATAAATTACCACTTGTCAAGTTTTGCTGTAGTATCACAGAATATCCACAATTATCTGAAAGCCATTCCTTCCTTTTCCAACTTTCTTCAAACACTTCAAACAAAACATCATATTGCAATAGAAACAAATGTGTCATCTATTAAGCATACATTAAAGAAATCTGCAAACTGAAAAACAGTAACGTTCTTCTGAGTCAATATTTTCAAGCAATACATTTTTCATAAAATAGGTTATTTATGTTAGTATTTACTGGGTTTACTATTATTTTTCAACAAAGAAAAATTTTCTGTTTTAATTTTTAATAAATATCAAAGAGCATAAGCAAAAGTTCTTCAGAATCCTCAATAACATTAAAGACTTCAAAAGGGACCTGAGACCATCATGTTTAGAATTGATAAATAAAAATTTATATTTCATATAATATTGTATTAAAATTTTTATTGTTGCCTGACTAAAAATAAGTGTAATTTTATTTTTACATTTTGTGCATTCAACATTTCATGCATTTAATAAAAATTTATAATTTTAATATAAGGATTTGTGGCTTTTGTATAATATCATATGAAGTAATATCTCAAAAATCACTGACCTATTTCATAGATGTAAAGCTAGATGATTACCGATTTGTGTTGTAAATAGTTTGGCATATAAAATCTAGAATTTATTCAAATAGCCTCCGAGAAATTTTATGAGCATTGTAATTTAGAATCATTAAGCCATAAACTACTTTCTCAAATGGTTACGCATGGTAAATAAATCTTTCCTATCATATAATTGATGGGTATTTTAGAGCCAACGCTGAATAATATTACCAAAGATTCTAAAGGAACACAATAGCTGTTAATTTCAAACTTTAGCATGTTGTAAAAATAAGGTGGATGAGAAGTTTATACCTGCTTAATCACTAAGAATCAGTTCTAGATGATTAAGTTCTAAAAGGAATCATGGAATTCTCTTATTTTATATATTCATAATTTTAGAAGAAAAAGGTCAATAGAGTGTATTTATCACAAATTATAAGTATTACACACATTTTCTGAAATGGAAATCTTTAGACATGTTGGTCTTAGACGTCATAATTCACTCTTTGTTTTCACACCCAAATTATGATACTTATTATTAATTTTCTAGGGAGAGAAAATTAATATTATGCCTTACTAACTGAAGAGTTCAATAACTGTGGCTCTCTCTATTCAATTCTATTCTAGACTTGTACATGCTTGGAGAACCTATGGAGTCAAACACCATGAAAAAGCATAAAAAGTGTTCCTAGAGGGAATTAGGAAAGAAAAATTGATTTGTAATGGAAATTACTGTTGAATAATTTGGATAAATTTTGTATTAAAATGTAAACCAGTATCCCATCAGATATTTCATGAGGCTAAAATAAGATTTTTCAGTAATACTTAATTTTAATTTTTTTAAATCTGAGAAATAGCTTAAAATATCACTGTAACATTATATTAATTAATAAATAGAAAACCATGATAATTTTAATTATACCTTAACATCATATTCTTCGACTCAAAGCCCTATTAGCCTGTCATTTTCAAGGAAAATAACATTCTTTTAAATGACAGAGAGTATATTATAATGATCTTGTAAGAGAAGTATTCTGTTTTCCTTTTTAAAACACCTTTAGAATTCAAAAATAATTTTTGTAAATCTTTGAAGACATGAGATGATTATAATGCAGGATCTTTCACGAAGCTTCCTCTGCAAAGGTTTATTACAGATGCCAAGTACTAACCCTGCCTAGTGGCAATATTAGCTTCTTGATAACATCAAGGAGGAAAAGATTCGATTCCCCTATGGGCTCTGCCTTTGACCGTGATACATTTGTTAAAGGGAAGAATTATTTGTAGTAAGAAAATGCATTTAAAAATACTGACTTAGGATTTTTTGTAAGATCATTAGGACTTTTTATTATATTTTTAGGAGTTTTTGGCTTGGTATTGTTGCTAACAGTCCCTTGATTAAAGAAAATATATAGAAGAAAGAAATATATATATATATATATATCTCCTCATGGATTTTCTGGAAATTTCTATCAAACATTAAAACAATTAACAAATTTTACACAATTTCTACTAGAAAATACAAGAGTAAACATTCCCCAATTTTATAAATTTAATATTACTCAGATGCCAAAATCAGACCAAGACAGTACAAAAACAGAAAACACATATCAATATTCCTCATAAGTACAGACCCAACAATCTTTCCCAAAATATTAGCAAAGGGAATTCGTAATATATAAAAGACATTCACCATTAATAAACAGGGAGGTTTCCATGAATGCAAGCTTAGCTCCATATTAAAAAAATCAATCAATATAATCCGTAGTATAAACCAAAGAAGAAAAATTACATTATCATATGAACTGATAGAGAATAAAATTGACAAATTAACACAAATTTGTGGTAATAACTCTTAGGAAACAGAAATTGAGGGGAACTACCTTACCATGATAAACAGTATCTATAGGAAGCCTGGAACTTATATTATGCTTAATGATGAAACACTGCTTTCTCATCTTTTGGGCCTCCTCACATAATTCAGTCACATTTTCACAGTTAACTATTCTGTGTCCAATCCATTATATTGGTAACTGACTTAAACTGCTTTCCCTAATATTTGGTTCACGGACTTCTTGAGATTACATATTAGGGACAAAAAAAATTTTAACTAAAAAAAAAAATTAGCCTCATAAATTTAACCTTAAAAACATTTAGCCTTGTTGCATTTTGCCATAAATATGATTTAGGTCCAACTGTGTTCTTATAAGCCAGTGAATGTATATTACTTTATTTTACTCATGTCTCATTTTTTGATAAAAACTACAAGGTGTTTGTTTTTGTTTGCCCAAGAATTTTTTAAAATTTTTTGCCTATATGTCATAGATATATGATATTTTTCTATCAAAAGATATAAAAGAGCTCTATTTGACTTGGGAAAAATTAAGTGCTTCAACAAAATATTTTCTTAAAAATATGCTAAATAATTCACTTCTTTGTTCATGTAGCTTAAGGAAATCTTAGATAAATAAGTTAATTTTGAATTTGGTGATAAAACAAAAATAAAGTGGTCTTCAACATTATTACATTTTGTCACACTTTTTTCCGCCTGGGTTTGTTGGCCAGAACACAATGAAGTTTCCATCGTTTCCTGTGTGTTTACCACAACAATTTAACTCTTAGGTTTTTATTTTATTTTAAGAGAAAAATAAAATCATCACTAGCTTCATCTAATATCTCTATTTTCATAAGTCACCTATGTGTAATTGTTAAAATTGTTAAATAATTGTCCAAAAATATAAAGGCAAAATGATTGTTCATATACATGTATATATGTGTCTGTATGTATATACATACGTATACACGTATATGTATATATGTATATACATACGTATACACGTATATGTATATATGTATATACATACGTATACACGTATATGTATATATGTATATACATACGTATACACGTATATGTATATATGTGTATACACATGCATATATACATACATATATGTGTACATATATGTACACACACACACACACACACGCACACACATACATGAGTAAGACTAGGGGTTTACGTAAATTTCATTAGATCTCCTGTTAGTAAGTCTAAGAAAGTCATGGAGACTTTATGAAGGATAGGCTTTGAAAAGGGGGTTTTGTGTGTGATTGCGTTGACTGAGATTGAAGAAGTATGATTTATCATTTTTTTCTAAAAATTAAGCAGTCACTTCAGGGGTGCACTGATACAGGACCGAAGTCTGGTCCTCTATGCTTAAAACTCCAAGATTTTCTTCCAATATTCATCTGCTCTTAGTAAAAAATTTACAATCAGTTTTTATTTTAATTTGAAAACTTGTTTCTGTAAACTTTAAATCATCTCCCAAATTACAGATTTTCCTCTTTTTAGTTTCTACCTAATTTCCAGTTGTAGGTGCTGTCTCCTTCATTTAAAACAATCATTTTGGCCGGGGACAGTGGCTCACGCCCGTAATCCCAGCACTTTGGGAGGCCAAGACAGGTGGATCACGAGGTCAAGAGATTGAGGCCATCCTGTCCAACATGGTGAAACCCCGTCTCTACTGAAAATACAAAAATTAGTTGGGCGTGGTGGCACGCACGGGTAATCCCAACTACTCAGGAGGCTAAGGCAGGAACATCACTTGAACCTGGGAGGTGGAGGTTGCAGTAAGCCAAGATCACGTCACTGCACTCCAGCCTGGTGATAGAGCAAGACCCCATCTCAAAAATAAAACAAAATAAAATAAAAGATAAAATGATCATTTCATTTCTGGAGTTAGAGTTCTCCTCTCAAGGCTTTTCAGATTCATATCTCAAGGGTTTGGCTTTGTACGCATCTCACCACATGTAATTTGCAGTTAATACATCAATGACTTGTGCTCTTCTTACTTCTCTCCTTAAAACGGTACATCATTTTGCTTAACTCAAGTGGTGACTTTCTCCTTTAACTTTTTTGTCAGTTTCTATAGCTTTTTTTAACCCCACCTCTGACTCTGGTATTCTGACCTGACACTGAGAATGTTTGTCTTAAAGGCCTGGGAGAAAAATGTTTTTCCAGTATGATGTAATTCTTTACTCTTGGCTTTTCTGACGTATCTAAATTGTTCTATGTAACCAGGCCATTTCATATTCTCTTACTTTTTCTGAAAGCCATACATTCCCCTGCTGGGGATAACACTGAGTAAACTGCCCAAGGCCATAACCAGAGACATTCGAATTACAAATTGCTGACTTCATGCTATAAATAGCTTTTCCTGAGATCACTGAAACTTCATAATAAAACTCTTCCCCCTTGATATGGTTTGGCTGTGTCACTACCCAAATCTCAGATTGTAGCTCACAAAATTCCCATGTGTCATGGGAGGTACCTGGTGGCAGGTAATTGAATCATGAGATCCGGTCTTGCCCGTGATATTCTCGTGATAATGAATAAGTATCATGAGATCTGATGGTTTTATAAAAGGGAGTTCCCTTGCACACACTCTCTTGCCTGCTGCCATGTAAGAAGTGACTTTGCTCCTCCTTTACCTTCCACCATGATTGTGAAGCCTCTTCAGCCATGTGGAACTGTGAGTCCATTAAGTCTCTTTTTCTTTATAAATTACCCAGTATCAGGTATGTCTTTAATAGCAGCATGAAAACAAACTAATACACCCTTCTTAATGCCTATGTTTCTTACTTGACAGTACCTGACACTAAAATAAAATTAAATTCACCTGGTGGGTAAGTTTGACAATATGTAACAAAGTTTTGTTCAAATTATGCTAATGGTCCCTTATATAGAGTTGATACTTTCTGCTTTAATCCAACCCAGTGATCTCAGTGATAAAATGCTAGTTAATGACTACAGTAAGTCTCACCCAGTTTCTCCAACATCTTCTGATTTGTTTCATTGATTGACCTTAGGTTTTGGCTCTTCATTCAAAGCCACTGCACAAACTAAATTTGTTTTATTGTTGTTAATTATTTTTTGTATCATTATCTTTAAGCTCTGTTATTATTGTCTGTCTAATCTTAATGAAGCCTGTTTGCAGATGACATGATTGTATATCTAGAAAACCCCATCGTCTCAGCCCAAAATCTCCTTAAGCTGATAAGCAACTTCAGCAAAGTCTCAGGATACAAAATCAATGTACAAAAATCACAAGCATTCTTATAAACCAATAACAGCCAAACAGAGAGCCAAATCATGAGTGAACTCCCATTCACAATTGCTTCAAAGAAAATAAAATACCTAGGAATCCAACTTACAAGGGACATGAAGGACCTCTTCAAGGAGAACCACAAACCACTGCTCAAGGAAATAAAAGACGATAGAAACAAATGGAAGAATATTCCATGCTCATGGGTAGGAAGAATCAATATTGTGAAAATGGCCATACTGCCCAAGGTAATTTATAGATTCAATGCCATCCCCATCAAGCTACCAGTGACTTTCTTCACAGAATTGGAAAAAACGACTTTAAAGTTCATATGGAACCAAAAAAGAGCCCGCATCGCCAAGTCAATCCTAAGCCAAAAGGACAAAGCTGGAGGCATCACACTACCTGACTTCAAACTATACTACAAGGCTACAGTAACCAAAACAGCATGGTACTGGTACCAAAACAGAGATATAGATCAATGGAACAGAACAGAGCCCTCAGAAATAACACCGCATATCTACAACTATCTGATCTTTGACAAACCTGAGAAAAACAAGCAATGGGGAAAGGATTTCCTATTTAAGAAATGGTGCTGGGAAAACTGGCTAGCCATATGTAGAAAGCTGAAACTGGATCCCTTCCTTACACCTTATATAAAAATTAATTCAAGATGGATTAAAGACTGAAACGTTAGACCTAAAACCATAAAAATCCTAGAAGAAAACCTAGGCATTACCATTCAGGACATAGGCATAGGCAAGGACTTCATGTCTAAAACACCAAAAGCCATGGCAACAAAAGACAAAATTGACAAATGGGATCTAATTAAACTAAAGAGCTTCTGCACAGCAAAAGAAACTAACATCAGAGTGAACAGGCAACCTACAGAATGGGAGAAAATTTTTGCAACCTACTCATCTGACAAAGGGCTAATATCCAGAATCTACAATGAACTCAAACAAATTTACAAGAAACAAACAAACAACCCCATCAAAAAGTGGGTGAAGGATATGAACAGACGCTTCTCAAAAGAAGACATTTATGCAGCCAAAAGACACATGAAAAAATGCTCATCATCACTGGCCATCAGAGAAATGCAAATCAAAACCACAATGAGATACCATCTCACACTAGTTAGAATGGCGATCATTAAAAAGTCAGGAAACAACAGGTGCTGGAGAGGTTGTGGAGAAATAGGAACACTTTTACACTGTTGGTGGGACTGTAAACTAGTTCAACCATTGTGGAAGTCAGTGTGGCGATTCCTCAGGGATCTAGAACTAGAAATACCATTTATCCCAGCCTTTCCATTACTGGGTATATACCCAAAGGGCTATAAATCATGCTGCTATAAAGACACATGCACACGTATGTTTATTGCGGCACTATTCACCATAGCAAAGACTTGGAACCAATCCAAATGTCCAACAATGATAGACTGGATCAAGAAAATGTGGCACATATACACCATGGAATACTATGCAGCCATAAAAAATGATGAGTTCATGTCCTTTGTAGGAACATGGATGAAATTGGAAATCATCATTCTCAGTAAACTATCGTAAGAACAAAAAACCAAACACCACATATTCTCACTCACAGGTGGGAATTGAAAAATGAGAACACATGGACACAGGAAGGGGAACATCACACTATGGGGACTGTTGTGGGGTGGGGGGATGGGGGAGGGATAGCTTTAGGAGATATACCTAATGCTAAATGACGAGTTAATGGGTGCAGCACACCCGCATGGCACATGTATACATATGTAACTAACCGGCATATTGGGCACATGTACCCTAAAACTTAAAGTATAATAATAATGAAATAAAATAAAATAAATGAAGCCAGCTCTTAGATCAAAGTTTTGAAATGACTGTTAATACCTGTGGGACTAATAAAACTCAACGCTGGATTCCAAACAAACCTGCTCTGAAAAAAATTTCCTTCTGGCCTCTTTGTTACTCAAATTTGGCCCAAGACGCTTCACTGACTCCATTACTTTCCCCTGATGTAGGACCAGAGACCACTAGGATAGGTCCATCTCAGCACCTAAGGCCAATTAAGCTTGACTTCAAGACAGTTGCTCAGTGGTGATGCTTTCAGAGAAATATCTTGATCCAAAGGGAGAAATGTGAAAGGTGATTATATTAATTGTGAGAGTGGCAGGAGGTAGACAAATGCCTAGGCAGATTAGGACGGGTCCCCAGTAAAACTCCACCTTCAAGCCAAAGTAGCCTGAAACTCGCAGCCCAAAGTGGTAACTTCTATTCCTCTTTGCCTTCTCTCTCCCAGTTGGTTCATTCTAAACAATGTATTTTTACTAATCGAATGTTGCCTTTTCCAAAACTACCTAAGGCCTAACCCACACCTATCCTTTGCCTATAAAGACCCCAGACTCACTTGGTAGAGGGAAGAGACAGCTTGACTTCAGAGGAGAGACACCTGGACTCTGGGGAAGAGGGATGATTTAACTTTGAGGAAGTGGTGACTGGACTTTAAGGAGAAGATGACCTGACTTTGGGGAACACTACTTACCCCACCTGCCCCCTTCTCCAGCTGCCCTCTCCACTGAAAACCATTTCCACCACTCAACAAAATTCTCCCCCATTACCACCCTTTGAGAATCCCATGCCACCTCATTATCCTTGGACATCGAACAAGAGCTCAGGACACATTGACTGTGGGTACCCAAAAATGCTATCACACCAACTATTCATGGTCACTGGCAGAGGGCAGCCTCCCCAGGTGATGTGGCAAGGGGTCAACTGAGCTGTTAGTCTGCAGACAGTGGAGTTAGGAGAGTAATGGAATACTCCCTCTGGTTCTAGCCATGGGTTCCACACAGATCTTGCTCCTGCTGGTGCCCAGAGCTGCCAGCTGGATCCTGCACTCACTAACTCATGCCTGATCTGGCCATCAGCCCCACATGAAGCTTGCTCCTGCTGGATCCTGGAGTGGCTGGCCAGATCCCACACACATTTGCTGATGTGCTCCCTCCTGCAAGGGGTTGAGTGAAGCGAGACAAGTAAAAGTTTGTCCCTGTCATGAGTCTGAAGAAGGGGACAAGAAAAATCCTGAATCAGTTGTGCCATTTTTTCGTACCCAAGTAAGTCATAGTCAATAAGTCAGGGAGAAAAAGCACTCAGGCATATATACCACCAGCTCCAATAACTGAATCTTCAGCAAGCCCAGCTGCTGAAGCAGCCTGCTGTATCCCTAAGACCAAATCTACCTAGTAGCTACTGAAGTGACCTGCTGTGACTCTAACACTGGTTTTACCTACTGCTGTCACTCACCAAAGCTTACCAGCTCCCAAAATCTTCTCTAGTGTCAGTGAGCTTTCTTTCAAAACAATATGTAACATTTCTGTTTCTAATAAACTCCCAATCTTCTCTTTGTGGGTCTGATATATCAAAGACCACCCTGGTTGGCAACTTTGTTCCAAATGACAATTCTCTGATTCCCAAATAAATTGTATAGAGATTCATTTCTATTTTGACTTGAAGAGTGGTAATAAATTCTGATACAATATTCAGAAGTTTGTTTTCCATAACAATACTAAGTCAATTTAGAAAGGCATTTTACTGTGCTACAAAATGCTTAACTTTTCTCCTTCAATGACATTATGTACAATTTTGTCATTAATTTATATGCACTTAAAAATCCTGTATAAGGTTTATATTAGATATAATTTTGTGAGGAAGATAAAAGCTCACCTTTCCATTTGCATTGTGCTGATTCAGACTGTAATTGAGTCTTCATGCACCCTGGTATATACTAAAGTACTAAACAAATGGATAGTAAAAACTAATACGTATATGGACCATTATAGTGTTATTTTTAAAAGCACAAAGAAAACTATTTTAAAAGATCACGAGGAGATTATAGCAGATCAATCTTCATATTCATTACACCAACGAAATATAATTCAACACTAGTTTCAATATATTTTACCAAAAGATTAACTTTCAAGCAAAAGCTTTAGATCTTTGAAAGTAATATAAACATGAAAATAGCAAAGATGCATAATTCATTTCAGCAGTTTTCCGAGAAATACCACATTTTCCAGAAAATATATGTTCTTAGAGTACATGAATTTTCTTTAGTCAATTAAAACACCAACCTTCTACAATAGGCCAAACAATTTTCAAAGCACTAAGCTTATGTTCACTCAACCAGTCTCATGGAACAAAAACTGAGATTGAGATATTCTGTTTATTGCAGTTCACACATTTATCAAGTAAAGAAGTCATCAGTCAAACCAAGATCTTTTCTTGCTAAAGTTGCTGGGATTTCCATGGTGTTTAATGCATGTTTTTTTATTTAATTATGAAATCAAAAAAATACAAATCTTGAGCCATTTTAATATGTTACTTGGGTAAAAAATTCAACTTAATCTTTCCAAACATCTAATGGAATCCCAGGCATAGTGATTTATTAAAATACCAAGTTAAATATTTAAGAGAAAATTAAATCACTAATAATGAAATGAGTTGATTTTCTAAGAAAAACAAGTATGTAATTAAGGAGTCAGTAGGAGACACCCTCAAAAGCATTACAACATTTAAAAGCAATCAACATTACAACTCTTACGCTGTGCTTTAAACTCCCCATAACCTAAACACATACATTCATTAATTATTTACTTGCATGATCCACAATGAAGGATGAATTAGAAAAACCAGAGTCATTATTTTTTAAATGACAGTATTTGGTACTGCAGCAAGAAAATAAGTAGCCAGTGGAATGAAAGACTCCATCTGGCTTTATCTCGGCAATGCTTTGAAGTACATGCAATAAATGACTTTGCATTGTTTGATCTTCTTAATCCTTTACAGCCATCTCTTTGAGATGTCATAATGCACAAGTTCATTCAGACAAAATCACATTATGAAATGCAAATCACCTCATATGACTTATATGGAAAATGTGCTTGTACTTACTTGTACCATCTCAAGCTCTAAGAGCCCAAACGGAAATGTACATAGTGGTGAATTTCCTTTCTGAAGTTAAAATAGTCTGAAATCGGGGTGAAAAAATGATACAAATAACAAAAATGTGTATTCTAAATGAAAATTGGAATTTTCATCGAAATAGTAGCAGTAACAATTAGGAGACAGGAGATGGAATGTAGATGCTAAGAAGATATCCACAAGAAAGCACAAGACTCTAAACGCTCTTGCTACTAAAAGAGAGATTCAAGGTTTACCAACTGCAATATTCTGCTACCAAGTACAGCTTGTACGTGGCCACTGGTACCGTCTAAAATGAGGATACATATTAAGAAATCATCAAAACGAACTGCATGGCAGAAACTTTTCTGATATCAAGAGATCAATTTAACTACAGTTATTTACAGGTGCCAATTTCCTCTGGAGTAAACTGTTACAGTGGGCCTCATGCACCAGTTAGATAATACAAGCCACACTTTACTGCACAGAATCCTGGACTATGCATTTTGGCTTTGCAGAATTGAGAGCAGAAATGTAAAAATAGGATAGTGATATTACTTTTGTCTATGGGAATTGCTGAGTCAAATAACAAAAATCATCTATTTGGGAAAAACCTAACTTCATGATTACACTCAGGCACACCGACTATTAATATGAATGAGGTAACAACCATAAATACAATCATAACCAAAGAACAACAGTAATTCAAGTTTCCTCAGTTCATAAATGTTCTTAGAATGTTTTCTTAGTATGTTAGGTGCTGTTCCCAAGCCTCAGTATAACTCCATGATCGCCGTTGATGCAAAGGCAAACACCACACTCTCCTCAGTTCAACGTCTGCCCTACCAGTCTTTCTGGCCTCTGACTCTTCCCTATACTACTATATATACATTTGATATCTACACTGACATAGCTGGGCGCTGTACTTGTTGATGAGAATATCTCTTCCCTCTTAGACTAGGCATGACCAAAAAAGTTAATCTGGGTCCAAAGATTAATGAGAATGACCACTCAGTTTTTATTCAAGATCAATTTTATTTACTGTGCAAACACAAGTTACATTCCAGACAAACAGATAGAAGTGAAAGGACTTATGCTCTGATGCCTCCTTGGCTCTTCAGGATGCAAAACAAGTCCTGCCAGCAAGTCCCTGCAGCCCAGGCATAGCAAAACATTCGGGGAGGAATTGTGCTGTACAAATGATTTTACCAACCTTATCACATTAAGCAGCATTCAAGGGTTTTCTGACCACAACTTAGGCAAATTTCATGTTATGCTATAGTAATGAACTTACTTGTTCTATTTCTAAACAAAACATTGGGTTCACATTGGCCTGGACAAAGCTTTCCACTCCAGTACTATTTACTTGTCCACTTATTCTCAAAAATACAAGATGAATGATGTGCAATACCATGGCTGTGGCACATGACTTTTCTAGACCTGGATCATTTGTGTCCCAATATTTGACTGATTTTGGGGTGGGATGAAAGCATGCCTTCAGTTTGTACTTCTATCATGCCCATTGCTACCATACACTTAATGACATAATCATGTTCCAATGTGTCCTCAGAATTACTATTCCTAGCTGGATATACTAAGGCTTTATATCTAGGTCAGTTCATTGAGTCTGTGTCCCCTCTACTCCCTCCATCGTCCCTCCACAGTATGAAGCATCCTCATAGGAAGCCTTGTAAGTAGATCTAAAGATAGACCCCGCTTGGCCTTTCACCCTCAAAGATACTCTTCATGCATTAAAGTAAATTTTTGTCTTCCATTTCTGCAGTTGACCAGATGCTAATTGTGGCCATATTCTAGGCTTAAACTGAGAACACCTCTACTCTTTTGGCTTTGGGAACAAAGTACCTGATGTAATGGAAGGTCCAAGAACTGCAACTGAGATGAATTAGTATTGGATTCACCCCACAACCTTCTTCACCATCGTAAACAAAGTAAGAGTGAACAACATCATGTACAAAACTTAACAATATAGACAATATAATGTGAAGAATACAATGTAGCATATAATGGTGCATATATTTAATATAATGCAATGTAATATGATCCAGAACTCTTTTACAGAAGAGAAAAAAACTGTGAAAGTGAAAATGAAAACAAAACTACATATTCAACATATTCATTAAACCAGAAAGAAAACAAAAATCTGCCAATCCTTTTAGACAGAGATGCCATCGTGAATGTCCCATAAGGCCATGGCTGTGTGATGAAGCCAGGCTACACAGAACCCAAACCCTCAACGAGGGTCTCTACTGACAACTTAATTCTCTGTCAGTGAGTGCAATTCATTTCACAACCAAGCATCGTGATTCTTTCTACAAAAACACTCTCATGAATTCCTAATCCTGCAAGTATTGCGGTATGCATATACGTGTTTCATTTCAGCCTCCACAGGAGAATTAACAGAATGAAATGTAGAAATTGGCTTTATAGTCAGCACAGCCCAACATAAAGGGTCAGGAGGGTAATGAGCAGTATTGAATTAACTTGAAAGTGTAAGAGAAAATGTCTGTGTTGAAGTACAGTCATATGCCTTATCGAGAGTGTTCCAGTACCTTTGGTAATAATTTTAAAGTAGCTATAATTTTAGTTAAATGTATCATCTGGAAATCACAACCTCCAGTGATCACTGCTATTTTATAGAATCAGACCAATTTTTTAAAAAAAGTATGAGGATGTGTGCCAGTCAGTAAAACCATACCATAGTGACCACTTAGATTTTAATTTAACCTATTTTAAGATTCTTAGAAAGTTTAAAGCTCTCATCTCTGTCATTATGATGGATTTCTGTGCCATTGCTACAGGGCAAAATCATTTGGAGGAGAGCTCTGAAGTACACACTAAGGACAGAATTACCTGGGCTTCAGCTCTATTTTTCCTGATATGTGTATTCTCTTCAAGGATACTACAAAAGTGGTATTTCAAATCCCTCTAGCAACATCCACTGAAATCATCTTGGGGCAGACAGAATATGGTAGATTTATGAATATTCATAACAGCACATGGCCCATTATGATTCAATGTGCTGTGCAAAATACAGCTGCTTTGCTCCAAAACCACCAGGAGAGCAGAGGGTACTTGTTTTAAGTGGTCCCCAAGGTCAAAACCAGTTAGCAATTTCATAGTTAGGAAATTATTCATCTCACCTTACACGTTAAAAGCAGGGTTTCCTTTAAAGTATTCAGGGATATATAAACCAGCCTCTCTCTTTTCTGCTAACCGTAAACCATTTGAAGAGTGATGAAAACAAAAATAGACTCTGTAGGAAATGTAGCTACCTTTATGTTCTTTATTTTTCTGTCCTACGTTCATTTTTGATGAAAATTTATATCATGAAGGTTCAGTGATCTTAGAATAGAAAAGATGCAGTCTGTCATCAATCTATTGTTAGCAGTGAAATCCAATCTTATTTCAGGGTACAGTGTTACTGAGTGGAAATTTCATTAAACTAAGAAACAGACGGTCTCCTTATAGTTTACATTTTTGCTTATGTTTGAGAAGGCTACCTTTTCATTTTAAATGTGGAACCGAATAATGATGGCCTGTTCTTTAGTTTTAAAAAGAGACAAAATCAAGAGATTGAGAATACAAGCCACAAACTGGGAGAAAGTATTTGCAAAAGACAGATCTGATAAAGGACTGCTATTCAAAATATACGACAAACTCTTAAAACTCTATGCTAAGTAAATGAACAACCTGATTTTAAAAATGGGCAAAAGGTCTTAATACACATTGCACACTGCATGATATACAAGTGGCAAGTAAGCATATAAAAAATGTCCAACATTGTATATCATTTAATAAAATGCAAATTAAAACAAGTTACATCTTATTAGAATGGCCAAAGTCCAGAACACTGACAACCCCAAATACTGGTGAAGACATGGAACAACAGAAACTCTCATTGATTCCTGGTGGAAATTCAAAGTGGTGCAGCCATGTTGAAAGGTAGTTTAATAGTTTCTTACAAAACTAAACATAGTCAGTTTACGATCCAGCAATCATACTCCTTGTTATTTATACAAATGTATTGAAAACTTATGCCTACATAAAATCATGCACATGGATACTTATAACAGCTTTATTCACATTTGCCAAAACTTGGAAATAATCAAGATGTCCTTCAGTAGATGAGTGGATACACAGGGACACATCCAAACAATGGAATGTTATTCAACACTAAAAAGAAATAAGCCATGAAATGAAACGGAGACAACTTCTACTAAGTTAAAGAAGTCAATCTGACAAAGATTACATACTATATGATTTCAACTATATGACATTCTGGGAAAAGCAAAACTATGGAAAAAGTAAGATTAGTCACTGTCGGGGGGTGAGGGGAGGGACGAATTAACAGGAAGGGCACAGTGGATTTCCAGGACAGTAAAATTATTCTGTGTGATATCGTAACGGTGGATACATGTCATGATATACTTGTCCTAACTCAAAGAATGTGCAATTCCAAGAGTGAATATTAATGTAAACTCCAGCCTGGGTGACAGAGCAAGACTCGATCTCAAAAAAATAATAATAATAATAATAAAATAATGACTCTCAGTAAATATATACATCCTGGGCATGCATATACTTTTTAAGTAGTTTTATCTTTAAAGATGGTTTGTAAACACAAAGATTTTATTTTGGGTGGTTATGATGTTCCATGGCATGTTCACTGATTGTAACAAATGTACAACTCTGGTAAAGGGAGAGGTTTTATGTGGAGGCCGGGAGATAGGGTGTATATTGGAACTCTTTTTGTGTTCAAATTTGCTTTCAATCAAAATATTCTGTTAAAAATAAAATTAATTCAAAAGGCAGGAAGCATGAAACATTCCGTATAAAAAGAAGAGTAAGGGGCCGGGTGTGGACTCACGCCTGTACAAATCCCAGCACCTTGGGAGGCTGAGACAGCTGGATCATTTGAGATCAGGAGTTTGAGACCAGCTTCGTCAACATGGTGAAACCCAGTCTCTACCAAAAATACAAAAATTAGCTGGGTGTGATAGCACACACCTGTAATCCCAGCTACTCGGGAGGCTGAGGCACAAGAATCGCTTGAACCCAGGAGGCAGAGGCTGCAGGGAGCCGAGATGAGATGGTACCACTGAACTCTAGCCTGGGTGACAGAGCAAGACTTGGTCTCAAAAAATAATAATAATAATGATTCTCAGTAAATATGTTATATACATTATATACATCCTGGACATGTATATATTTTTATAAGTGGTTTAACTTTAAAGATGGTTTGTAAACATAAAAATTTTCTATTCGTCTTCATTGTGAGCAGCCTATGTCTGAAGCTCTGTCTAACATTAAGATACATTATGCACTCTAATTAAAGTTTATTTAAAGTCAATAATTTCTTTTCAGGAAAAAACTTCCTTATTACTTTCTGGAATATTTGCAATTGAAATAATCAATTTCCCATAAACGAGAATTTGAACAACAAGACATTTTTGTTTATTTTGTCTTTTTCTTGTTTGGGTACTAAGTGTCTCATAACACATTATTTACAAATAAGTTGGATTCCAAAACTAAAAGATTGACATAAAATCTGCCTGCAGGGAGAAGAAAAAGAAGCCCAAATTGTCAGTCTTCTTATCGGTCCCCCAGTAAGAAAATGATTGAAGGTGGTAACAGAAGAAAGAATCTTAGGAGGGAAACTGCAAATATTACCTGCTTTACATTCTTAGTCAAAATTCAGAATTTAAGCAGCATGCTAATCCCTACAGATTTTTCAGTTTGGGCAAAAGCGAGAATGTTCTCATCTTTAACAATGTTCAGAAATGTCACAAGACTACTTTCATTCAAAAATCTACTTTGCAATGGTTTTCTAAATGGTTTCCAAAAATTCTGTCAGTTTTTAAAAAGAGTGATTCTTAAATACACAGAGCTTTAAATACAGAACTGTCTCCTAAAATTATTTTCTCTTGATTTGACATTCTGAGTGTCAAAATGATTTAACATAAATTACCAGAAATATTCTTATATTGTACTTGGTTATTTACACATTAATGACAGTGACACAAAAAAAAAATAATTGTTTTTAATGAATCTTTGTGAACAGACACTACCCCAAAAGGATATTGACCTTCCAGTTGCTATCTACGATGACGTCCGCAGCAAGAATTTGGGGAATGGCCATTTCCTTAAACTCTGGATGGCCTTAATGCACCTTCAGATATTCTGTGTCAGATAGTAAGAGCCAAGGTATGGTGGCAGGATTTCTAATATGTAGGTTAAGAAGGTTGATTGGTCTGCTTTACCAGTAGGAGAATCTCATTTTGGGTAGTGGAGCATTTAAAAGCAAAACAAATCTGGACTTTAGGAACTGGGAAGACTTCATTACTGTAAATGAAGCCAACACGGGAAACATGCTACCTTAATCCTGCTGAGGTTAAACACTTCTAACAAACTGTATTTAGTTCAGGAAAAAACCTTCACTGAAAATATTTGATAGTCATTTCTTAATTGTGCCTCTTCTCATCCGTTAGATAAATGAAGTTAACATTTAATTCATTTAATGAATTAAGACCAATACCAGTAAAATACCAATAATCTATATTAGGGAGTTAAAAAAAGTAGATAGTAAAGTTCATACGTAAAAACAGATACGAGTAGCTCAAAAACACTGTAAAAGAAATATGTGAAGGAAAATTTGCCCTAAAAGGTAAAAACAAATCAATTTGTATAATAAAATTAGCATGGTATTGATACAGAAATAGACCAGTGAAATAGAATGGGAAGTCTCTAAGAAGACTCATGTGCAAATGTACCTTTGTATAAAGGATAAGTGACATTTCAAATCACTAACATAAAGAGGAGCTTTTAACGGAGGGTGCTGGAGCAACTAAGTAGCCATTTAAAAATATTAAGGTTAAATATACATCTAACATCATACACGACAATAAACTCCAAATGGATTAGGCATATACATGTAAAAATGAAATCATACAAGTGCTAGGAGAAGAGATGGGTAGATTTGTCTTTGAAGTTGGTGTAGGAAAAGTATTCCTACGGATAACTCAAACACAGAAGCAATCAAATAGAAGATTAACACATCTGACTACACAAATCTTTTAAAAATGCATGCCAAAAACACCACAAGAGCAGTCAGAAATAACTTAATAAGAGGGAGAAAATATATGTAACATATACCATGGTTGAAGGGCTAATATTCCCACTATATAGGGAATTCATAAAAGTTAAGGGACAGAGTAGTAAAGCTTACATAGAAAAAATGGAAAACCAAACATGATCAGACAATTTATAAATTAATATTTCAAAATGAACTTCAAACAGGTAAAAAAGTAAAAAATCATAGTTAAGGAAATGTAATTTAAAACATAACTAAGGTACTGTTTTCTATTTATTATATAGGCAAAAATTTAAACTGTCCTAGTTGGTGAGTCTGGATAAACAGGCCCTCTCACATATTGCTGGTAGAAATGATCATCAGCCTCAAAGTGTTGAAGGGACATTTGCATGCATACACACACACACACACACACACACACACACACACACGCATATACACACTTCTCTTTCCTTTCAATAGATAGATAATACACAGACAGATTAGGTAGATAGATAGATCGATCTCCATTCTTGCTTTCTGACCTGGAATCCCACTTCTAGTAATCTACTTTAAAAGCATACCCCAATAATATGGAAATATATATGCATCAGATCATTTGTGTTTTATTTGCAATCACAAAATATTAGAGGCAATGCAAATGACCATACTTAGGAAAGTGGTTGAATAAATTATGGCACATTTACACAAAAGAGTTCTTGGCAGTGTTAAACAAGAATGAGGACAGGCTCTATGGACTGACATGGGTTCATATGTAGGATATATTATTGTGAAAACAAAGTAAAGTACAAAAGAGTGTTTGCAGTATGCTACCTCTCATGTGAAAAAGGAGTTTACATGTTTATGGTTCAATTTACATGAAATGTTCAAATTAGTCACATTTATATACCTAAAGTAGATTTGTAGTTACCTACAGTTGGAGGGGAGGGGATGCGGAGTGACTGTTAAATGGCTACAAGGCCATTTTGGGGGGAAGGTGAAAACGTTCTAATTAGATCATGGTGACGCTTGCACAACTCTGCTAATACACCAAAACCTACTGAATTGTATAGAATTTGCAGAGGTAGGACACGCACGGTGGCTCACACCTGTAATCCCAGGACTTTGGGAAGCTGAGGCAGGCAAATCACCTGAGGTCAGGAGTTTGAGACCATCCTGACCAACATAGTGAAACCCTGTCTCTACTAAATATACAAAATTAGCCGGGTGTGGTGGTGCACGCCTATAATCCCAGCTACTTGGGGGGCTGAGGCGGGAGAATCACTTGAACCCGGGAGGCAGAGGTTGCAGAGAGCCAAGACTGCACCATTGCACTCCAGCCTGCGCAAGAAGAGTGAAACTCCATCTCAAAAAATTAAAAATAAATAAATAGAATTTGCAGAGGAAAAGTTCATGACATGTAGATCATATAATACTAATAAAGGTATTAAAATTTAGAAAAAGAAAGCAGAGGACTTAGGAAAACATGCATGTATCTGATCATTTGTACCAAAGAAACACAAGGAGGACAAATCAGACTTTAACGAGATTGGTTACCTATTGAGGGGATGGAGATATATGAGAAGAGTGAAAAGAAAGGGAGAAATGAATATAGGACAGTTGGAATGAAAAGGAACTGTATCGCACTTTTCTGAATATACATGGGATATAGTTTGAATATATGTCCTCACCCAAATCTCATGTTGAATTGTCATCTCCAATGCTGGAGGTAGGACCTGTTGGGAGGTGTTTAGATCAGGGAGGTGGATCCCTCGTGGCATACTGCTGTCTTTGTGATAGTGACTGAGTTCTCATAAGATCTGGTGGTTTAAAAGTGCGTGGTACCTCCCCTCCAACCACACTCTCTCTCTCTTGCTTTTTCAGTGTCACATGGCTGTTCTCACTTTGCCTTCTGCCATGATTGTAAGCCTTGTGAGGCCTCCCAGAAGCAGATGCTTCCAGTGGGGCTGTGGGCGACAAGCCACCCAGGCACCGAGGCAAGAGACAGAGAACACGAGCTGTTCCAGTATAATAAAATATAAAACAAGAATAGTTATACCAGATATACCTCTCAGATATGATTATATATGAATATCATTAATCATTAGTTTGTAGCAATTACTTTTTATTCCAGTATTATGATAATCCTCGCTCTATAATCATAGCCTAGGAAAAACCAGGCCATACAGAGATAGGAGCTGAGGGGACATAGTGAGGTGTAACTAGAAAAGAGTGCGAGCCTTCTGTTATGCCCACACAGGGCCACCAGAGGGCTCCTTGGTCTAGCGGTGACGCCAGCGTCTGGGAAGATGCCTGTTACCAGGTGGATCATGGTCCAGCGGTAGCAAAAGGTGTCAAGGAACAACACCCGCTACTTAGCAGACCGGGAAAAGAGGGGGTCTCCCTTTCCCTGGGGGAGTTTAGAGAAGACTCTGCTCCTCCAACTCTTGTGGAGGGCCTGACATCAGTCAGGCTTGCCTGCAGTTATCCGGAGGCCTAACCGTCTCCCTGTGATGCTGTGCTTCAGTGGTCACGCTCCTAGTCCGCCTTCATGTTCCATCCTGTACACCTGGCTCTGCCTTCCAGATAGCAGTAGTAAATTAGTGAAAATACAAATAGTCCCTGATATGCAGAAATAATGGGGTAAGCTGTCTTTCTCTTTGTCTCCTCTCCCTCTCTGCCTCGGCTGCCAGGCAGAGAAGGGCCCCCTGTCCAGTGGACACGTGACCCACGTGACCTTACCTATAATTGGAGGTGACTCACATTTTTTACCCTGCCCCTTCTGCCTTGTATCCAATAAATAACAGCGCAGCCAGACATTCGGGGCCACTACCGGTCTCCGCGCATTGGTGGTAGTGGTCCCCGGGGCCCAGCTGCCTTTCCTCTTGTCTCTTTGTCTTGTGTCTTTATTTCTACACTCTCTCGTCACCACGCACAGGGAGAGACCCACCAACCCTGTGGAGCTGGTTCCTACAGGGGCCTGTAGAACCATGGGTCAATCAAACCTCCTTTCTTCTAAACTACCCAGTCTCAGGCATTTCTTTCTAGCAATGTGAGAAAAGACTAGTACAATGTGTTTGTATAGTTATGACTTTTAGAACTATATTACTGGTTCACATACTTGAAAAATGAATAAATAAAATCAACCACAATGTGTGGGGAATAAAAAATTAAATACAAATATTTTAAAAAATGAAACTAGCTATATTACAAATGAAAAACGTAAGCACACAAATATTTGGGAAAAGAGTGAACTACCCTAAATAACTTCAGGAAGCAGTACTTTTTACTGGATATCATAATGCCAAAGACAAAAATGACCGTAAACAAATATTGAACTCCAGTAAGTAAAGTTGTTTCTCACAGGGTTATGCGTAGGTGATGCTGAAACCACATGTATATTAGGATTAATCAAATAAGTGAATGTATTACAGATAATGAGATCTAGGTGTCTCAATAGTGAGGAAAGAAATTTTAAAAAGGGAAAGTCAAAAGAAACACCATGTTGGTGGATTCTAAGTAGAGTTGTCAGTATGGACTCTTGGTTTTAAAAATACAGATAAATACATAGATAAGGAAATAAATAAAGCTGTGTAGCAACATGTGGACTAGGATCTCTATCTAGCAACATATGGAGTAGTATCTCTATCTATCTATCTATATATCTACCTACCTACCTACCTATAATCTATCTATTTCCCAGCTCTGTCTGCTAAAAGGGCCTAGTAGCAATGATACCCCAGAAGCAATGAGGACACCAAACACAGAGCTCTTGGTTTAAAAGTATCATTCTCCAACTCAAAACAAACAAACAAACAACACCATTAAACTAGAGCTTCTTGGAGAAGTTGCTGATCGAGACCTAGGGTTAGGAAAATATGAGATGAGCCTCGAAATTAAGGTTCATAAAAGGTAAGGAAATGTCAAAAGGACATAGTGGCCAACTTGACAGAGATTTCATTTGTCAAACTGGGCACCCTCTCATCAGCAAAATTAATAAAGACAGTATTGGATTATAACTCATAAATGTCCATTAGTTGGTTATAACTTGCATAAATAATGGAATAGATGAATAATTCTACATGGATGAAGCTGGAAACCTTCATTCTCAGCAAACTATCGAGAGGACAAAAAACCAAACACCGCATGTTTTCACTCATAGGTGGGAATTGAACAATGAGAACACTTGGACACAGGAAGGGGAACACCACACACCGGGGCCTGTTGTGGGGTAGGGGGATGGGGGAGGGATAGTATTAGGAGATATACCTAATGTTAAATGACGAGTTAATGGGTGCAGCACACCAACATGGCACATGTATACATATGTAACAAACCTGCACATTGTGCACATGTACCCTAAACCTTAAAGTATAATAAAAAATAAAATAAAAAATAAAAAAAGAAGAAAAAGTGTTCTAATACATATAGAAGGCAGAAGGGAGATACGAAAATCAAGTATCGTTAATGCAGGCAAGATCTATTGATAGATGCTAATGTGAGTAAACAGAAGTTTGAGGAGAAGCAAGATATTTGAGTAGTCTGAAAGTATCTATCTCAAGACATTTATTAATTATACAAGGACAAAAACAGTAACTTTATAGTAGAGAAATGTAGCCAACAAAACTGTAAGGAAGTAATGATGCTTAACAACACTAGTAATAAAACATGTATATTTTGTAAGTCCTAATATGATACACTGAAAAGGGAACACTACTATGGTATTCTCACATCCTCACCCCAACCATAAGTAAATAAATAAAAGCAAGGAACATAAACGCAATATAATCAAAAGAAAACATCAGAGAACCCCAAATTGAGAGACATATTTTACAAAATAACTAAACAGTATTCCTAAAATGAGTCAAGCCATAAAAAGACAAGAAAAAACTGGAGATTATGCCATAAATTGCAGAAGACTGAGACACAACTAAACAGAACATGGGGTATGGATTTATATCCTGGTGAAAAAAGAGACCTTAGTGGGTTAAGTGAAATTCAAATAAGGCATGTCACTTGGTCAACAGCATAGTACCTATTTAATTTTGCTAAATGTATTTTGATTATGTAAACTGCTACCATTAGGAGCAGCTAGGTGAAGTGTATACATGAATTCTCTTTGCTAACTTTGCAACTTTTCTGTAAATATAAAATTATTTCAAAATAATAAACAAAAATATGAGGTACTTTTTACTACACATTTTGACAATTTAAAAGTTAAGCAAATAAAAGGGAATGAAAACTGTCCAAGCTAAAAGAGTTATTCATCCATGATTGAAAACTCAAAAGCCTAAATTCAGAAACCACTGTCCTAAAACATTCACACGATATTTAGGATAATGAAGGCATTTATCAATTAAATTTATCAATATACAAGAAATTGTATATTAACTGGAGAGCAGTTTTCACTGGGTGTCAGTGCTCACTTGCAGGGTATGGAAAGGCAGTGGGACGATTTGTGGTGCCCCAAAATTACTTTAAACATTGACAGTGGGAGAGGGTCAGGCATGCAAATAGCTCTTCAGGGCATAGAAAGATGTGCATAATAACAAGAAATGTATCTAAAGACCAATTGAGTAATCACCAACTGAGAAATACCAAAGAACAGAGAGACGAATTCCAAATCCAAAGAAGTAGATTTTGTCCCTGCTTTGCCTTGTGTATTAGATCAAGAAAGACAAGTGTGTGTAGTGTTTCAAAAGGTACAATAGCAAGATGCCTAACTTTAGAGCTAATTGTCAGATGCTAAAGTTGGGAGTCTAAAATTTGTATTCAATTTAGATACTTGTTTGAGACAGTATTGTTAATTATTTTATTTTAATTATTCCTTAATATTTAATAAAATGATAGCTGATACTTTCATTTGGCCCATATTCTCCTGTTAAAATCAGACATCTATAACTGAATCAGATCCTGAACCTAGATTTTGATTATTTAATCTGAATATGTTTCCCATAGGAAAATGTTACTTTTTCTTCTCATCCCATAGCACTTGGAGAAAGCACCACACCACCCTGAGAAAAGATATGAAAAGGAATTCAGGGTGCCTTGGTGATTCAGAATGCTATCCTCATCCAATCAGGTTCCTTCGCAGGGCTGCTGTCTGTAGGATTCTCTGTCAGCTCCCATCAAAAGCATCTCCTACATTCCTTGTAGACACTTCCCTCAATAGTGATAACTTGTTTTGGCAGTAGTCCTATGAACAGCTAGTCCCACAGGAAATATCCTCTTCAACTGAAATGGCTTCTATTCAGAACAACTCTTAGTTTTAGCATTCTGTTCTATACACAATGAATATAGCTTACCCCAGTTATCACTCCAACCAACATTGCAATATCCCCAATGTCTCTCACCTCCTTACACATGTGTAATTTCTTTCACAGTTAACACTTGCTGCTCAAAATGGGTACTGTAGAGCCTTTTAGAAATGCAGAATCTCAGGCTCTATACTAGACCTACTGAATTAGAGACTGCACTTTAACAAAATCTCCAGGTGATTGATTTGACCATTAGCTTGACATGCACTGACCTAGACGAATCAGTATGGCAGTTTCAGTACCATATTTAAAGGCCAGCTCATATCCCTGAGGAGTTTTTCAGTGACAGCCTGCTGCAAAACTCTTCTACAAACCATGCAGAAAGACTTTAGACTAGCAAGATATTCAACGCAAAGTCCTACAAAAATAACTTACATGTCATTTAAAAAATTGCTTTTTAGGCCATTATAAAAATATTTATGATTTCACTTCTTATAAAAAAATTCTGAAAGCTGCCATCACAAAACGTAGTTGCTTGCAGTACACTCTAAGCTCTTTCAGGACCAATGCACAGGAGTTATTGAGACAGCTGGACATAACATATTGATTTGGGAATACTGTCAAAGATGTTGTTATATAATGCTTCCACTTTCTGAAAACGTTTTAATACTTAGTAGGCATTTGGAAAAGACTTTCAAAAATTTACCTCATTCAATTATTAATTATTTAATATATACAACAGATTTACTTCCAGGCAGCCATACTTTTATTATCTCCTTAAAATATCATTCTATATTATCCAGAATAATTGACTCTTCTCATAGACATGTTTTAAATATTTAACATTGTGACACTCAATTGCACTCTATCCAATTGGAATAATAATTAGGATTTGACATTAAGGAATTTGCACTTTTGTGAAGAAGACCTAAATATAAGCAACTAACTATACTAAATGGAAAAAACATATAGAGGTGCAAGAAAAAAAAATGGAACACACAGGTATTTATGCATTTACAAAAATTCCATGTAATTTGTGTTCCTTTTTATTATTTTAGTAAAATTTACTATCTTAAATATTTTTAACCATACTATTTAGTGTTGTTTAGTACACTCATACGGTTGTGCTACTATCATTATCGTTTGTCTCTATAAGTCTTTTCATCTTGCATAACTAAAACTATACCCATTATAAAACTATGCCTCATTCGACCCAATTTTTTGACAACATTCATCTTTCTGTACCAGTTTTTAAAAATTCTGTATTCTATTCCATTGGTCTATGTGCCTATTTTTGCCAGTACCACACTATTGATTACTGTAGCTTTAAAGTAAGTTTTGAAACCGGGAAGTATGAACGCTTCCACTTTGTTCTTCTTTTTCAAGCTTGATTGTGCTCTTTGGGGTCCCAGGACATTCTATATAAATTTTAGGATTTTGTTTTCTATTTATGCAAGAAAAAGTCATTGGGATTTGGATAAGGATCGCATTGAATCTGTAGATCATTTGGGGTAATACTGTCATCTTAACAATATTAAACCTTCCAATCCATGGGCATAGAATGTCTTTTAAGAATTTTTTTTTGAGTTTTCTTTCATTGTACAAATGTATCACCTCCTTGGTTAATTTCTATTTCATTATTTCTGATGCTATTGTAAACTTAATTGCTTTTGTAACTTTCTTTTCAAATGGTTTATTTTTAATGTATAAAATACAACTGATTTTTTGTGTTGACTAATATTCTGCTACTTTGCTGAATAGGTTTATTAATCTTAACCATATTTTTGTGGAATCTTTAGGGCTTTCTATATTTAAGATCATATTATCTGCAAAAAGATAATTTTGTTTCTTCCTTTCCAATTTGTCATTTATTTTTACATATTTCTCTGGTTAGAATTTCTAATATTATGTTGAATAATATTAGAATGGAATCTCATGAGAGCTCAAATAGCCAAAAAACAGCTTGAAAAAGAAGAACAAACTGGGAGGGCTCACACTTTCTGATTTTAAAACTTATTATAAAGATACAGTAATCAATAGTGTAGTACTGGAATAAACACAGGCATGTAGACCAATGGAAAAGAATACGAAGTTTTTAACAAGTGGTGTAAAAAAAAAAAAAAAACCCTGGATATCCACATGCAAAAGAATGAAGTTGAACCCTTACTTAATACCATATATAACAAAATTAACTAAAAATTAATCAAAGACCCAAATATGAAATCTAAAACTATAAAATTTTTTTAAGGAAACATTGGGCAAAAACTTCATGACACTGGATTTGGTAATGATTTCTTGAATATGATACTAAAGGCACAGACAACAAAACAAAACACAGACAAACTGTATTTTGTGAAAATATTTTCAAAAATGTGTAACAAAAGGCACTATCAGGTCTTGTTCTTGACCTAAAAGTAAAAGCATTTAGTCTTCAACCATTAAATTGATGTTTGCTGTTTTTCTAGACAGCTTTTATTATGTTAAGGAAGTTTCCCTCTACTCTTAGTTTTTTGAGTTTTTTATTATGACAGTGTGTTAAGTCTTGCCAAATGTTTGTTTGTTTCTGCATCAGTTGAGATGATCATGTGTTTTTCTGCCTTCATTCTCTTTAGGTGGTGTGTTACCTTGATTGACTTTTATGTGTTGAAACATCCTTGCATCCAGGAATAAATCTTATTGGCCATGGTTTGTAACCTTTTTAATATACTTTTTAATTCACTTTGCTAGTATTTTGTTGTGGAGCTTTGTATCAATGTTCATAAGGAATACTTGTCTCTAGTTTTTGTATCTTGTATTTTTGTCTTGCTTTGCTATCTGGGTAATGCTTACCACATAGGCTGATGTAGGAAGGTTTCCCTCCTCTTCGACATTTGTTAAAGTTTGAGAAGAATTGATGTTAGTTATTCTTTAAATTTTGGGTAGAATCCACTGGTGAAGCCATCAAATCTGGGGCTTTTCTTTGTCAGGAGATTTTTTTTTGGTTACTAACTCAATCTTCTTATCAGTTATAGGTCTATTCAAATTTTCTATTTCTTTGTGATTTTGTCTTTCTATGAAGTTGTCCATTTCATTAAGGTTATCCAATTTTTAGTTCACAGTTGCATGTAGGACTCTTATAATCCTTTTTATAACTGTAGAATGGGTAGTACTGTCTCCACCCTCAATTCTGATTTTGGAAATTTGAGTGGTATTTTTTTTTTTTTTTTAGTTCATCTAGCTGTTTGCCAGTTGTGTTGATCTTTTCAAAGAACCTAATTTGTATGTTGATTTTCTTTATTTTTTATTCTTTATTTTGTTTATCTCTGCTTTAGTCTTTATGATTTCTTCCCTTCTGTTACTTTTGGGTTTAGTTTGTTCTTCTTTTTATCATTCTTTAAGTTATAAAGTTTGTTTATTGACTTGAAACATATTTTGTCTTTTAAACATTTATAACTATAAATACGCCATGTAACACTGATTTTGGTGTATTCTTTAAGTTTTGCTATATTTCTATTTCCATTCACCTCTAAATATTTTTATATCCCTTGTGATTTTATCTTTTGATCATTGGTTGTTCAGAGTTTTTTAATTTCCATAAATATGTGAATTTTCCTGTTTCTCTTCTGTTATTGATTCCTAATTTAATGCCATTGTGGTTGGATAACACACTTTTTATGGTATCTATATTTTAAAATATGCCAATACTTAATCTGTGGGCAAACATATGGTCTATCCTTGAAAAAGCCCCATGTACCCTTGAGAAGAATATGTATTCTGCTTTTGTTCAGTAGAGTGTTCCATATATCTCTATTATATCCAGTTTATTGCATTGTTCATGTCCCCTAATTCCTTACTTCTGATGTTTCTCCCTATTATTGAAAGTAGAGTACTGAATCTTCACCTATTTTTGTACAACTGTCTGTTTGCCCCTTCAGTCCTGTCAACTTTTGCCTCATATGTTTTGATGTTCTGCTATTAGGTACATAAATGTTTATAGTTATTAAATATTTTTCCAGTATTGGACATTTTAGTAGTATATAATGTCCTTTTCTTGTGGAACCTTTTCTTAAGAATCTATTTTGTCTGATATTAGTTTAACTATCCGTGGTATTATTTGCATGGAATATTATTTTCCACCTTTCACTTTCAATCTATTTGTGTCTTTGGATAAAGAGGGAGTCTCCTGTACAGTTGCATCATTTTTAATCCATGTACATTTAAGTAATTACTGATAAGAAAGGATTAATTTCTAACTTCTGTGATTTTCTTTTCTATATGCCTTGTAGCTTTTGGGTCTTTTCTTTCTTGTATTACTGTATCTTTTATGTTGATTTTCTGAAGGAAGACATTTAAATTCATATCTCATTTTCTTTCATGTACATTATTTAGCCATTTTCTTTGTGGTTGCCATGGGGATTATATTTAACATCTTAAAGTTATAGCACTTTAATTTGAATTTATATCAGCTTAACTTCAATAACGTAGAAAACTCTGCTCTTTTGATGCCTCTGTCTCCAATTATTTCAGTTGTTGATGACACAGAATTATATCTCTATACACTGTATATCCAAAAACATAAATGATTTTTAATACATTAGTCTCTTATGAGGAAAACAAAATGTAAGTTACAACACTAAGTTACAATAACACCAGCTTTAGACTAATAAGTTTTTAATGTATTTTTCTCTTAAATCATGTACAAAACAAACAGTAGAGTTATAAAATATTGTTAAAATAATACTAGCTTTCATAATTGCTCACAGTTTATCTTTACTGATATCTTTATCTCTTCATACGGCTTTAAGTTACTGTCCAGTTTTCTTTTATTCCACCCTGATAGAATCCCTTGAGCATTTCCTGCAGAGCAGGCCTAGTGGTAATAAACTTATTCACCTTATTCAGCTTTTCTTTATCCGAGAATGTCTTAATTTCTCCTTGACTATCAATGGACAGTTTGTTGGATAAAGGATTCTTGGTTGCCAGTTTTTTTGTTTGTTTGCTACTTTAAATATATCTGCTCAATGCGTTGTGGTTTCCAAAGTTTCTGAAGAGAAATCTTCTGTAATGTTATTGAGCATCCTTTGCATGTGAAGAGTCACTTGTCTTTTGGCTTCCAATAGTCTCTCTTTGTCTTTGTCTTCCAAAGGTCTAGATTATAACATGTATTGAAGTGAGAGTCTTTTAGTTTATTATACTTGGAGCCACTGAGCTCCTTGGATCTTTATACTCTTGAAAATTCAGTGTCATTATTTCCTTAAACATAATTTCTGTCCACTGTATCCCTCTTCATCTGGGACTCTCACAGTGCACATATTGCTCTGCTTGATGGTTTCCCTCATGTTCCTTAAATTTTTTTCACTTAACCTCCATCTTTTTTCTTTCTATTCCTCAGACTCAATAATTTCCACTGTCCTGTCTTCTAGTTTGTGGAATTTTTTACTCTGCCTGCTCAAGTCTGCTTTTAAAATCCTCTAATAACTTTTTGTTCCAGTTACCGTAGTTTTCAACTCTAAAATACCTTTTGATTTCTTTTAGGTTTCTATATTTTATTAATATTTTCATTTTGTTTATACATTGTTTTCTTGATTTTCTCTATGTCTTCCTTTAATACTCTGAGCATCTTGAAGACCAGTGTATTAAAATCTTTGTCTCGTGGATCTGTCATCAGATTGTTTTCAAGAACAGTTTTTTTTATTTGTTCTTCTGAATAGGTCATATATTTCTGTTTTTCTGCATCCCTTTAGATTCTCCTCACTTCCTCGGGTTTTACTGGTTTTTGTTTTTGCTTATTTATTTATTTATTTTTAATTCTTATAGACTCTTCCCTTTTAGTGAATTAGTCTTGAGGTGTAAACTTAATGTTTTCAGAAGTCATTTCTGAAACTGTGACTTCTCCTGGACATTCATAATAACTTTGTAATTTTTCCCATATTTGAGGTTGCTTCTGAAGATGCTAGTCTTTAATACCTGGATTCCAAAAGTTTAAAAAAAGAGAAAAATAAGTGGTGGGGCACTGGCCCTTTTAATTCCGTGAAAGTCACTTCAGCTAGTGGGGAAGAGCTTTCAACAATGGGGGCAAGTGCAAAAACAATGGCCATTGTCTCTTTATCTGTACTTCTATAATCAGAAGCAATAATCACCAATCTGAGCACAAATCTCTTATATTTGGAGGACAGAATCCTTTTTGCCACTCTGGTTCCCTAAAACTGTGTGCAAACTGCTTCAGGAACATACAGGTGCCTGTCATGTGTTGAGGGCTCTGAGATGGGTAGTTGCTACTGTGCTACGAGGAGCAATCGACTGAAATTAACTACAATTTACCATCCAAACCTTGTTCCAGAAATTGCAAGTCTTTAATAGACATCAGAATTCCAAAGTAGTAACAGATTCTGACAGTGTAATTATTCTCTAGTTCTGAAGGCATATTTTCGGTCCTTCCTACACTTCCATCTTTCCAGAATCCTCCTCATGTGCTTGCTTATGACATATAACACTCCTAGAGCAAGTTACATCATACTGTAATAGTATTTAAATAGGCTTTTGATGAAAATGACATCTTCTTAAATCAGATCCTACTGATGCAAAGTCATTCTCTGAGAGTAAACTGCACACATGCTAAAGATTATGTAATTCCCTTTTCTGGAAAATGTAAAACATACTTAAATATTATTTTGAAACAAATAATATATTAGAACACAAATAATTTAATATTGACCATTTAATATGGGTCAAATTAGTTCCTAAGTGTTAATAAAAAATGTATGGCAAAGACATGCTAAACATACTTAATTCACAACACATTTTCACTTACATTTTTTCAAAGAGGTGGCACATCGCTTATGAGTTTGGGTTTAATGATCATTCCAGTTCCATCACTTTCTAGCTACATTACTTTACATAAGTTGTAATGTGATTTTGATTGAGTTCATCAGCATAATACAGATAGAATGATATATACAGATTGGGTGATAGGCATCAGCAGTAATCTATTTCATTCACTAGATCCTTCAAATAAATTAGAACAAAAACCATATGAAAATGACTACCCTTATCTTTAGAGCACAAGCATAAAGAAGTAAACTTTTATGATATGGCTAATATCAATTTATTTTAAATATCTTGCTCTAATAATAAGATGTTACCTTTCAGGAATTATTTTGCACTCTCAAAATTTTTATTCAATGCCTCTTTTTAAAATGGCTTATAGCTGTTTCATACATGTCTGATCTTATCTTCTAGTTTATTAGATCTTGAGAGCAAAGGTGGTGCCTCATCTAACTCCACAATATTGAATGTGCAGCAAATAATTGACTTAACGTATTTAAATTTTGAGTTAAATGAGGATTTAAATAATTATCCATTTTATCTTTCTAATGCCACAGATAAACCGTAGACACTAACACCTTAAGTAATTTATTCAAGTTCATGCAAATTTTTAGAGAAAAACATAAAAATCAGTTTCTCCTAGACTTTCAATTCAGTAACTCTCCATAAAATTAGCCTGATGATTTTCAAAGTACATTGAAATATAACAAGCTTATTGTGCCCAAGTAACCTCAGATAAATCAAGCTGCCCATCATCTAACAAATAATGAATATAAAGTAATAAATTGCATTATGCTTAACATGTATTAGGCCTCATGTATACACTAACTTTACATACATTCCATTGCCATCCTAATTGAATCTACTGTTATCCTGCCTTGTTTCCACTATAATAACCTACTCACTTGTCCTCTTGCCTCCTCTTGGCCTGTTTCTTTCTAATTAGTTCTCCATGCCACAACCAAAATGGATTATTTCAAAATGAAAATCCAGCAAGTCACCACCACCACTTTTCCTACCCCTCCACTTTTTGCTTCAATGGTGCCCTATCATTTCTAAGGAAAAACATGGCTTTTAAACATCCTTATGACAGATTTTAAATTTCACCATCTTACTACTACCTATACAGAAAGACAACCTCAGCATCATTGACATGTTGGGCTGGATAATTCTTTGTTGTGAAGGGTTTTTGCATTTTCCTATTTAACTTTTACTTTCTTCAGATATGACCTTAAATACAGCTTGCTCTGGAGATCTCAGTCTGGTCTACTTGTTGTCTCAAATCCAATCCCTCTCACATATGCATGGAACATACCAGGAATCTCTCCTTCATAGCATATGTCATAATTGTAAATCTATATTTGTGTGATTATCTGATAAATGATTGTCTCCATGAGTGTGGCATTATAAAATGCATTTGTCCCCATTTCCTGGCATACAACTCCTAAAATCCTTGGAATCTTTGAAGTGGTGTCTCTTTGTACGCTACTGATGGAATGATGGCCAGTATCCCTTAGGTAGCTTCAGGATGGGACTTGTCACCAGAAAGACCAAGGCATGATTAGAGGGTTAGAACTTTCAACCTCACCCCTGGCTTTCAGGGAGGAGATATTGGCTAAAGGTTAAGTTAACGGCCAATGGCTGATGGTTTAATCAATCGTGTCTACATAATAAAGCCCTTATAAAAACCCAGAAAGAATGTCTTAGGAGAGCTTCTGAAGAGCTGAACACATGGAGGTTCCTAGAGAGGGCATGGAAGCTCTGTGCCCCTTCCCATATATCTTGTCCTGTGAATTTATCTAATTCTTTTGTAATATCCTTTATAATAAACCAGTAAATGTGTTTATCTGAGTTCTGTGATCCACTCCAGCAAGTTAATTGAACCCAAAGATGGGTTGATGGGAACCCCAGCTTGAAGCTGGGTTGGTCAGAAGTTCTAGATGTCTGGACTGATGTCTGGCATCTGAAGCAGTGCAGTCTTGAAGACTGAGCACTCAATCTGTGAGGTCTGATGCTGTCTCCAGGTAGACAGCATCAGAACTGAATTAAAAGACAACTGGTGTCCACTACTTTATATGTGGGAAAAACTTCTCGCAACGTTTGGTAACAGAAATCTATGCTAATTTTTGTGTAAGAAAATAGAAAAAAAAATGCTGAGTTTTGTTTTTTCTGCACACAATGAGGTTATTTCTTTGTTTTCTCCTCACTCTTTTATAATCTCCAGTGCCTGGTCAATTTGTTGGCACATAGTAGCACTTAATACGTGTAGTAAGAATTAAGAGATATAATTTATTCATCTCTATGAGGTAGATGCTATTATTAATTTCATTTTAATTAGGAAGGAACAAATTCTTATAAATGTTGCAAAATTTGTCAAAAGTCACAACTTAAAAAAATAGCACAGCAAGAATTAAAGTTATTTAATTCCAGACCCAATATTCCTAACCCCAGTTTTCTTGGAGAATTGCTTGAAAAAATCATGTTTAGGAAATGATTTTTATCCATTTATTTTCTGTCCAAGTTTATTTCTGAGCACACAATAAAGACTAACTATATGACGGTTGGAGATAATCAGTAATTAAACTAAGAACCTTTCTGATGCAGAACGGAGATGAATACATAAAGGTATGTATAAAAAGTGCCAAATGTATGAAATCACTCTCTTGGAAAGACCTCAAAAGAAAGTCATTCGAACTCGAGTTCCTAGAAAAGATTGCTTTGCCATAGTCCTCCACTGATATCAAAATAGGCAGTTCTTTGTGTATTTAGACACTGGCACTGAGACACAATAAGTCGTGTTAACAATTTTACTTGCTTATCAGATCTTTAGTAAGCTTGGCCCCAGGCACAATCATCACTTCATCAGTACCAGTAAGAGGCGCTACCCTAAGTTAACTGAAGGAGTGCCATCAAGAAAACCTGCTTTCATTTATTTGAATACTTTGGAAAAAAACACATTCTCAGCCAGACACTTTAATTACATCTAATTAATGTTATTTTTTCTAATGCTTGCCTTTAAAAACTCAATGTTTTATAACTTGGGCTTTCTTCCTAAATGTAACATTGACTAAAGCATGGCAATTTAATATTTGTCAAAACTACTAAATGGTTCAGAATATAGACAATCTGTGTCATTGTAGAATGTTATTGTTTGACTCATGTAGTGTACTCATTATCACATAATAGTGAATAATTTGCAGTGCTGAAAAATACATTAATTAGCGTATGCTTATAAATCATACTTATAGAAATAGTACTATTGTACTAAAGATGCTCATTAAACACCTGTAATATGTATGCCACTTTTCTGATAACAGCCACACATACCATTCCAATGATATATTTTATATATATATGAATGATACAACATCCAATTATTCTGATGACATATACAAGGAAGACATAGTCTCTGGGTTGAGTTTCTCAGTGGAGACTGTGTTCCCCCATATGAATTTCCTCAAATAAGGATTCCTTTTGCTAAGAAATTATTCAACGTATCCTATAATTATTACCAACTCCCTGGAAAAGTAATTTACCACAAATGTCACATCAGCTACATAAAGCTGAAAGCCAATTTAATATTTACTAAATATTATGAAGCTATTCAATAAATAAAAATAATAATTTCCGTGCCCATTTAACAGCACTGAATTTAAGAAATCACTCCAAGTGTTAATTTAAACATGAAATACATATCTGCCAATAATTGCTATTATGACGATTCTAAATAAATGAATAGATTCACTTCTCAGGCATTTTACTAAGGGTTCCAATGAATATCGTATCTATGTCAAAGAAATAATGACAAATAAATACATCATCATCTGAGATACTGAGACATACCCACAGTTATATAAGCTGAATTTCCGAATCTCATTTGTTTACCTCTGTGGCAGTTAATAAATAATAATAAAATCTTTTATTATTTCTCCTGTATCTGTAAGACTGTTCCTACCAAACTACATTTCTCAAATAAGAAATTTGCTTCTCTGGTTTTTGCAATTCAGCATTTGATCATAGGTCTTACTATATGAATTTTAAGAGTTCCAATTGTAATTTTAGAAGTGACCTTTAGTTGGTTTGTGCAGCTTAAATTGTGAATTAAATTCTCAGTAATCTTTTTGAAATGATGGAAAAACATGAATCTTGTTTAATATCTTTATTTAAAGGTAAATAAGGTTTAATTAAAGGCTTATATTTTATTTAAGAAAGCTGTTTGTTCATGGTTTTAACTAGATTGAAAGCCAGAGAGGTATTTACCCAATCAATACCTCTGCAGTACCATTCACAGACCTACCATACCATTGTCTTTGAGTCTGAATAGTGGTGAGTTGATGAACTCAAGGCTTGATATTTATATATTCACTTTGTACTTACTTTTATCACTTAGAATGTGATACTTTTAACACACAGAAAGACCCAAAGTAGTTTCATGATAATTATCCCAACCATATACTGGGATATCATTACATTATAAGAAAACTCAATATTGATGTTTAAGCGTGCAGTGGTAAATGTTTTCCCATATTGCAAGGATCCTCTTCCATTCTACTGGTCTCAAAAGGCAACATGTATTGCCCTATTTAACTGGGAGAAGGAATATATCAGTATTAAAATGTTCCTCCTGTATACATTCAAACTTTATTCTATACAAATTTGTTTGTGTATGTAGAATAGTTTAAAAACTAATATTGTACCTATAAATAACTCTTTATAAAAATGTTTAGTTTTTATTTCAAAAACAAAAAAAGGTTATATTATCAATGCTAAGTTATCCCTGAAGACAATTTAACAAATAGTTCTCACCCTAAACCACAAAAGTTACCCCCATCTTCTTGTGCAGTTTTTCAAGAACTGCAAGACCCGGTTGGTGTTAACTGATGGTGAAGTGGTAATCCAAGAGTCTTTGTAAAATATAAATAGTATTTTACATTTCATGGGTCTTGCTAATTCTGAATGATACCTAGGAGAAATGCTCAGTTAAAATAAATAACTAACTGGGTCACTGAACATTAAAGAGGTAATTTAGAATGAATTAAAATCTATAATAAAATTCACACCTGTTCCCATACTTATTAAAATGTATTACAAAGGTTTATGAAGTACTCTCTTTATGTATTAGAGAAACAGATAAAATCATATTTTACTAAGGTAAAATAGTTTAAAATTGTAACTATTTTCACATTTCATTTTTATGTATAAGATTATTAAGAATAAGAAAAGCTTTCTCCTCCATATGCTGTTGCATTCAGATTAAACCAAAGTTCTTTAATTTTGTTATCACATTATACATATGAAATAACTTCATTAAAATATCATGAATTTTTCACCATCAACCCTAGAATAAATATTAGGCAAGAAAGTATACATAACATTAAAAAATGAATTCAATACATCAACAAATGTTTCTACCAAAAACTAAAATATCAATTTTGACCCAGAATTGTCAACTACATAGGTGTTAGTGATAGGTATTAGTGAAAACATGTGGTGAAAATTCACAAATGAATAGAACTGAAATCTTATATGTCAACAGAAGTAAAAAATGAAAAAGCGGCCGGGCGAGGTGTCTCAAGCCTGTAATCCCAGCACTTTGGGAGGTCGAGGTGGGTGGATCACGAGGTCAGGAGATCGAGACCAACTTGGCTAACATGGTGAAACCCTGTCTCTACTAAAAATACAAAAAAATTAGCCAGGCGTGGTGGCGGGCACGCGTAGTCCCAGCTACTCGGGAAGCTGAGGCAGGAGAACGGTGTGAACTCAGGAGACAGAGCTTGCAGTGAGCCAAGATCACACCACTGCACTCCAGCCTGGGCGACAGAGCAAGACCCTGTCTCAAAAAAAAAAAAAAAGTTTTTATGAAAAATAATATCTTTAAGTAATACCCCATGGGTACTAGTTTTAATTGCCAAATTTTGCATAAGTCATTCTGTGGGAGGACAAGATTGGGGAAAGTTATAGGGGAAAGAAGAAGTCTCTTGTCAACAGAAATAGAATCTTTCTATTGATGAATGGCTGCCTGCAACTGGGAAGAGTGACTTGCAACAACACAATTTAATATTCTCTAAATAAACAAACCATTTTTTGCACTCACAACTGATGTACTAAAGATACTCTGCTAAACACATGAAAACGAGAATAAAACACTTTTGATTTGCATTATCATACCAAATGATATGCATATGCAAACATCCAAATTTCTGAATCATTTTTAAAAATCTTAAAAATCCATGCAGTTGATTAAGATGCATTTTGGGTCTATAGACTTCTAAATCTACAGAAACACACACACATATATGTGAGCACACACATAAACTTGTGTGTTCACACAGAAAGTGATGCTAAAAATTAGTTCTTAAACCTATTTGATTAGTATCAGATGCACATTTTGCAGCAATAGTCATCATAATTATTCCTCAATGTTTAGTCATGGTTTTACTTTGTAGAGCGCTCCATGAATTAATTTCAAGAATAAAAAAAGAAATTATACTAGGTAGCCCTGTATAAAAAATTAAAACATACAGGTCCATTAAAATTTTTTAAAAATACTTTTCTAAATTACATATTGCAGAAATTATCCTCCAAACAACTTTGAAACCATACTCAAAAACTAAAACACTTAAATTTACTGTTAGATTTTGATTCACACTAAAAATCAATTACTTGTCCTTGACAAAACCTTTTATTATATCCAAATGATTTTAGCCACCAAAGAGATATTGGATTTTTTTTAAAGTCACAGACAGCTTTAATCTTGCAAATGCATCATTCCAAAATGTGTGAGATAAATTTGAAAAGGTCAAATCTGCTGTAATTAAAGCCATTCTTTGGATGTCTTTATAGTTGAAGCAGCCAAATGTCTGTACTGAATGCCAGAAGAATTAAGTATTCAGATACATATTTTTTCTTCTCCAATCTAGCATCAGGCTGTGGACTTATCCAATGAGTTATTTTGTTGTTGTTTTTTAAGGAAGTGGAATATTTCAAACCATACAAGTAGATTCTGATACAGCTCTAAACATTGTAACACAAAGTGAAAAGTTTAATGTTTAATATCATACTATTAAAAAGCAAAAGAATTATATTTCAATATGAGTCTAATGAAAATGTATAGTTTTATTTGCTTTTTTATTCCAGTATATTTCAATATCTAAATATTATCACCTTCTAGAAGTGGTATGTTTTCCAATTCATAATAAAAGAATTGTGGAGTTGCTGCCAGAATACAAGTAAAGCAACTAATAAGTAATTGTAAATATAAATTTTGTAATTTGTATATGAAAGTAGCAGCAAACATTATTAACTATAAAAAGGTTTTTAACAAAAGTCCTTTTTTAAAGGATCATATCCATGCATGATTCATTTTTCATTCCAGTGATTGTTATTAAAGCAAAAGAGAACCCATGTGACTCAAAATGTACTAAGATTAAATTTTCATTGTTGGCTCACAATAGAGCTAATATTTCAGCTTGTTTTATGTCTTTATTGGTTGGATTTTATTTACAAGACAACTTTGTGCTATAAATTGTTGGAGATAAAACCAAATTTCTATCCAAATCTTTCAGAATCTTTTAATGAGGGTCTTACAGCTAGAGGATAAAATAATCTGAAGCAATTCCAAATTAAGGAATTATATGACAAGTTCCATATCAATGATATATATATACACACACACAACAAGCAATATATTAGTTCAAATAGTACAATGTTGAATATACACATTGTGATAGTTATTTTATTTTATTTTTTACTTAAGACAGGGTCTGTCTGTGTCACTCAGGCTGGAATGCAGTGGTGTCATCACAGCTCACTGTCACCTCAAACTCCTGGACTCAAGATATCATCCCACTACAGGTTTGCGCCACCATGCCTAGCTATTTTTTTTTTTTTAAGACAGGGTCTCACTATGTTGCCCTGGTTGATCTTGGCTCCTGGCCTCAAGCAAATCTTCTACCTTACTTCCCAAAGTATTGGGATTACTGGTGTGCTGGCCTGATGGTTATTCTTATGAGTCAACTTGCCTGGGTTAAGGAATGCCCTGACGGCTGGGAAAACACTATTTCTGGGAGTTTTTGTGAGAGTGTTTCTGTATTAGCATTTGAATCTGTAGTCAAGAATCAGGAGTAAAAGAGGTCCCCTCTCACCAATGTTGGTGGGTATCATCCAACTCACTGGGACCTGCCCCAAGAGAACAAAAAGCAGAAGATGGGTTCTCCAGCTTACAGACAGAACACTGGACTTGTGGGCCTCCATAATAATGAATATGAGCTGATTCCCATCATAAATCTTTCCTTATATATTTCTATATGTCTTGCTGAGTCTATTTCTCTGGAGAACCCTGAATAATATATATATGTATGCATGTATATAATTTATTATAATAATAAAAATTAAAGTAACAAATTATTAGTGAGCTAGTAATTTTAAAAAGCCCACAATGATGCCACATTTCTCTCTCTAACTCTTGAGAGGACATCTGCTTATCTATGGCTAATGGTCAATCAGAGTTTAATAAGATTAATGATTCATTTATTGAGCAATTTCTATGTTTCAAATTCTACCCAAGTCCCACTGTGTATGCTAATACACTGATTCTTACAACAACTTGGTGAGATAGCTATTAAGATTCATACTTTCAGATGACATGATGAAGTTGTGACAAGTTGGCTGCCATAAGAACTAAAATCCACTACGGTTTGACTTCTGCATACATACTTTTCGCCTTGTGCTTCATTGTCTTAGACAATCAGTCCCCAACCTCCTTTATACACTTTCAGAAAGAGACAGACATTCATGTACTCTAAACCAAACTATTACATTCCCCTCGTTGTGCTTTCCAAAAGGTACAAAAGCAGGCTGTAACCATACTTGCTATCCACACTATATACCTATTTTGTTCCCATTGGGAAATATTTGAGGACTGCCTACTGGTTGCAAATATTTTTCACCTAATTTTTGATTTAATTAAACCCTACTTATTCTACTTTCCTTAATATTTCCTTCCTTTCAAATTCACTCTATGTGTCTTTTCATTTTTGTGACTAATTTACAGTAATAGATTATAAACATCAATATTTAACTGTGTAAAATACCTATTTATAAAATTATTCATATGAATTTTCACTGGCCTACTACCGTTGTATTAATAAGGAGAAGGCTGTTGGCAAAACAACAACAAAAACCACCACCACAGCAAAACCCTTTAAAACCAACTTTGAGATACTTACTTTGGTTTTAAGTGTTTGATTTTATGAGCTCATTAATGAATGTTAATATTCTTCACTGAAATTTGCTACCTATATTTTTATACTTCTTACCACTGTGAGTTGTTTTACATACTAGTGATTTTTATTATCCTATTAGTATTCTAAATGGAGTGTGGGTAGTAGAAATACCACAATTGTCTTATTTTTATTAGATACCTCCTCAAAGTAGCCTTAACACTATTTTATTCTCCTTCAGTAGTTTATCATCTACTAAATCTGTCTAAAACAATATATACAAAAGGTTAATAAATGGCTCTATTTAGCTAAGTCTAGTCTAATTACCATGAAAACGTTAGGTCTAACTTTCTAAACATAAATTTTTTGAAGTGTTCTGCTTTTCCTAAGAATATGCTACTCCAGACTATCTTAAGTTCACACATGTAAAAGAGAAGGAAATGTAGGAAATGTGTCTGAAAAATCATACCTCTGCCTTAGATGATAAAATAATTTTTCAGCTGAGGTTTTATATCATCACCAACTTAATATCACTCCTTGGTCCTGTCACCTTCAGCTCTCAATATACAGTTAACTTTTATCTTCTGGAGATTTTTAGACTTTAAGGAACTCACTAAAGATTGTTTAAGAAATGATGCAAGGAATGAGTTGAAGACTTTAATTTTCCAAGTAAGTGCAGAATAATTATGAAGAAGGAACCTGATGAATATGAAAAGCAGAGAGCACCAAATTCTGGTGAGGATACTGGACAATGTGCATCCTCATTCACTGCAGAAATGAAAATGTTACATCACTTTGGAAGACAGTTTGGCAGCATTTTTACAAAACTAAGCATAATCTTATCATATAATCTAGCAATCATGCCCCTTGGCATATACCCAATGAAGTTAAAAACAGGTCCTCGCTAAAACCAGCACAAGAATGTTTATAGCAGCTTTATTTGCCAAACTGGTAAGCAACCAAGATGTCCCTCGTTAGGTAAATGGATAAACTGTAACACACTCAGATAATGAAATAGTATTCAGCATTAAAAACAAATGACCAATCAAGACATAAAAATACATGAAGGAATCTCATATACGTGTTTCTAACAGTATGAAGCCAATCAGAAAATGCTACATACTGTATGATTCCAACTACATGACATTCCAAGAAAGGCCAAACTATGGCAGCAGTTTGAAAAAATCAGTGATTGACAGGTGTTATGGGGGACAGAGGGATGAGTAGGTGGAGCCCAGACGATTTTTAGGGCAGTGAAACGCTACTGTAAAAGACTGTAACTATGGATATTGTGTTCAGATTTTTTAAAAAATGAAACTGAAATTTAAAATAGAGTAACTAAGAGGGAATCTGGTTGATTTGTTTCAGCTTAAATTCATGATTGCAAATCTCGTGTCTTTATATTTCCCCCAAAAAATTAATATTCCCTGCTCCATTCACTATCACGCTTTTTCAGAGTAACAGTTCTTATTTATTTTCTCTACTTCCCATTTTCACTCTTGTTGACGAGTTTATTTTCTGTTTCACTTGTAAAAAGGTAGTAATCTGGCAAGAACTTCAAAATCTCTGGTCGCTACATCTGCTCACCTTCCTGTATCTACACCTACATTCTGTTCTCTCTCGTTTTCATACGGATAAACTGTCTGCTTCTAATGCCCACCCCTCTAACTGTGACTAGGTCCTGTCTCCTGTTGTATTCGGGTTCTCCAGCGGGACAGGATTAAATGGATAGAGGTACATATAAAATAGAGTTTATTAAGAAGTATTGACTCACAGGATCACAGGGTGAAGTCCCACGATAGGCCATCAGCAAGCTGAGAAGCAAGGAAGCCAGTCCGAGTCCCAAAACCTCAAAAGTAGTGAAGCCGACAGCGCAGCCTTCAGTCTGTGGCTGAAGGCCAGAGAGCCCCTGGTAAACCACTGTTGTAGGTCCAAGAGTCCAAAAACTGAAGAACTTGCAGTCTAACGTTCAACGGCAGGAAGCATTCAGCACGGGAGAAAAATAGAGGCCCGGAGACTCAGCGAGTCTCGTATTTCCTCTTTGCTCCGCCTGCTTTTATTTCAGCAGCGTTCGCAGCTGATTAGATGGTGCTCACTTAGATTGAGGGTGGGTTTGGGTCTCCCAGTTCACTGACAAAGGTTAACCTCCTTTGGCCATACCCTCACAGACACATCTGGGAATAATACTTTGTATCCTTCAATCCAATCAAATTGACACGCAGTATTAACCATCACACCTGTTATCTATTTAGAGCTATCATCCCTGCAATTTTCTTGCTGCTGCTTCTGCAATTTTAATTCCTCTGCTAAGTCCTTCACATCAAAAAACAACAAAATGGAGTTAATTTAATGTGATAAAAACTAACAACTTTCTTTACCCCCAGGTCGCATACCTCCAGAATTCTACTTCTTTTTTTTTTTTTTTTTTTTTTTTTTTTTTATTTGAGATGGAGTTTAGCTCTTGCAGTGCTTGGAGTGCAATCGCATGATCTCGGCTCACTGCAACCTCCGCCTCCCAGGTTCAAGCAATTCTCCTGCCTCAGGCTCCCAAGTAGCTGGGATTACAGGCGTGCACTAGCACGCTCGACTAATTTTGTATTTTTAGTAAAGATAGAGTTTCACCATGTTGGTCAGGCTAGTCTCGAATTCCTGACCTCAAGTGATCCACCCGCCTCGGCATCCCAAAGCACCGGGATTACGGGCGTGAGCCACGCGACTGGCCAGCCATTTCTCCTTTATAGCTGTTTATTTCTAACCATTTGTCTTCAATTACTGTAATCCCATTCTCTCTTGAACCTATTTCATTCAGGCTTATATTCTTCTACTTCTACACTGAAACAGTTTTCAAGATGACTAATATAGGTAACTATTTATACATTGGCCATATACTTTATGTATGAATAAAGTACACAATGCCAAGTGTAATATATTCTAGTACATTACACTTAGCAACAGCGTCTACATTCTACTCCTTTGACATCTACAATCACTGCTCCTTGAAATATTTTTTCTCTTTTCTTCAGGACACCATATTCTCTTATTTTTTCTCCAGCCTCCTTGGCTAATTCTTCTCATCCTTCTTTGCCAAATCCACCTTATCTCCCCACAAAATTTGAAGTTTCCTAAATTTCTCTATTATTTCAATGTTTACCCTTTGCTACACACCAACAGTACTTAAATCCACTTTCATGACTTCGTTATGCTTATAACTACCACGTAATTCTTTATACTCAATTTACAAATTTATTCAATGTTCGTGTTTAATCATTCTCATCATGCTGACTCCTTCAGTAACAGAGCTCGGGGCTTGAAATTCTAACCTTACAAAAAACTTATGCTTATTCCACATAATACATAGATATAAACTTCTTGAATATTAAAGACATTTCATTATAAAGACTATATTCTTTATAATGACAATAAAGAATATATTTATAATAACATAATTGTATTCTTCTATATTTATTTCAAAACTGTTAAAGTTTCAAAGGTCACATATGTCTTTAATTATCACAACAAACTCCCATGATACAAGTTTAATTATATAACAAACCTGCACTTGTACTCCTGAACTTAAAAGTTTGAAAAAAGAATAACATTCTTATAAAAGACTTGTAAAGACTTAATGAATGAAGTTATCTTGAACATTTGATAACTTTAATATTCACAGTTTATATTTATCAATAGATGCTCTCAGAAAAATAAAAAGGCTTCCAACAAACTAGAAGAAAATATTAATATAATCAACATATAAACAGCAAAGTGTTAATATCCAGAATATATAAAGAATAATACAAATAACCCAATTAAATAATGCACAAATGATACACACATTATACAAAATATGAAAACATGAATAGTTAATTAATATATGATGCTTAATTTTGGTAACCAGGGAAATGCTATTTCAACACAGGGCAGGATGACATTTTACACTAGCCAGTGTGAAGAAAAGTTAAAATTCCAGTCCCAAGTGTCAGAAAAGTTATAGAACAAAGGAGACTCATACATGACTTATAAGTAATGAGATGGGGAGGGGTCATAGAAATCACTGCCTCACAATCAATGGGGATTACTCAATTCACTAATAAGGAATGCATGCAATAAGTTTCAAAGTCATGAATTTTGTGCTTTTTGTGACAGTAATAGTAAAAAATAATTTTTATCAATCTCACAATAAATTTGACCAAACATTTTGTGCAATTTAATTCCTTTAGACCCCATTATCTCATTATGGCTGAGTTTACTGTTTTATTTTATAGATACATATAACTCTAGAAGACACAAGGATTTTGTAACATCACTTGCCTCTGGTAGTTAAAGTGGAAGGGAGTTTTTTTATTAATATTTATTACCTAACATTTGAATTTTATACTAGGAGAATGGATTATTATCCTGTAATTAAATTAAAATTTAAAAAATTAAAAACTTTTAAATTGAAGTAAAATGTTCAGTAGATGAGAGGTTCCATCTCTAATCAAGGGATAACCGATTCCTTTATAAACAGCTGGAAAACTAGACAAACTATATGAAACAATCATTTTCAAACATTGGACAATTGGCTCCTAAGGACTGGTTTTCCGCAGTTGAGAAGAGAAACAAACAACGTAAGATCTACAATAGCCCCTGATTTCTGCCTGGGGATACCTACCGGACCACACCATTGACAGCAGAACCCAGACAGAGCTTGGAGAAATCCCTGAGTTAAAGGGACAGAAATGCTATTGCAGGAGGACTAAGCGAGTATCTTAAATTTAAGGTAGGAACTAGACAAAGAAAGAGCTCCAAAAATCAACATAGTTTTCCCCTGAGTGATCCAGGGACTGACTGACTAACTCAGTGAGCATCCATCCCTGGTTCTAATATCTAACTTCCCCTCCTTGAGTGTCCAGGGTAACCACCTTGAGCTGTGTTCATATCTGCAAATGACAGGTTCATCTCTGCCTCTCAAGACTGCGTAAACCTGTGCAACACTTTCTACCTTTTACGGAAAGCATACATAATTTCACAAGCAAACAGCATTTCCTGTATTTTGGAGAATTCAGTCAAGCTTTGGGAGTCAGAGTTATGGGTAAAACACTTTACTCACTTCACCTTCCTCTTTACACTTGTGCCTGATTTTTCCTCCTTTAATCTCCCTTACCGCTCTCAGAAACAAAATCATTTTGTTTTCTTATCTGTTAACAAGTATAACAACTTTGGAAGAGTCTTTTCTTGCTTGATTAAGACGGGTGTGGTGGTTAATTTTCTGCTTCGACTTGACTGGGTTACAGGATGCCCAGATAGTGGTTAGACATTATTTCTGGGTGTTTCTGTGAGAATGTTTCTGGAAGATATTAGCATCTGCGAAATAAGTAAAGCAGATGGCCCTCCCCAATGAGGGTGGGGATCATACAACCTGCTGAGGGCCCGAATAGAACAAAAAGGCAGAGGAAGGTAGAATGCTGTCTCTCTGCTTGACTGCACGAGGGGAGACATTGATTGTCTCCTGCCCTTGGACTAGGCCTTATACCATTGTCACTTCTCATTCTCAGGCCTTCAGACTTAGGCTGGAATTAACACCACTGGCTCCCCTGGGTCTCCGTTTGCAGACCACTAACAGTGGGGACTTTTCAGGTTCCCTAACTCCGTAAACACGTGAGCCAATTCTTACACCATATATCTTTATACACACACACACAAACACATATCCTATTGCTTCTGTTTTCTCTAGATTGCCCTGACATACAACACAATTTCTCTCTCATTTCCACAGGCTCTATCTCTTACCCACACTTAAACATTGAAATCATCTGTGTGTATTTTAATACTCATGAAGTTCAGGCTTCCCTCAATAGCCTGACTTTGTATCTCTGAGGCAGATCAGATTTTTACATTTCAAAAAACATGCCTTTAAAACAAAATCTTATTTTAAGTACGCGTGACAATCATTGGCAGAAGGCAATTGTAGAACAAATGGGATTTGAGGGCTGGTGCAATGGTTCATACTTGTAATCCCAACACTTTGGGAGGCATAGGCAGGAGGATGGCTTGAGCCTAGGACTTTGTGACCAGCCTGAGCAATACAGTGAGACTCCGTCTCTACAAACAATTTAAAAAATTAGCTGGGCATGGTGGTACCTGCCTGTGGTCCCAGCTACTTGGGAAGCTGAAGCAAGAGGATTGCTTGAGCCCAGGAAGTCAAGGCTATAGTGAACTGTGATTGCACTCCTGCATTCCAGGCTAGGCAACAGAGTGACACCCTGTCTCAGAAACAAAACACACAAAAAGGTATTTGATTTCAACACTAATTTATTCATTTTTGGCCATGTAAATTACGTTGATAAAGAAATTCAAAGAGAGTATATTGTACTATGTGAATGATCACATTTGATCCTGAACTACTAATGGGTACGTCTTGGTTACTTGTATAAGAATAACAGGTTTCAATTAAGGTAAATTAACATATATAAAATACTATGTATATATGAATATATGCAGCATAAATGACAAAGTTATTTTATTTTCAGTTTAGCCTGAAAATAAGGTTGTTTTGATTATACAAGCAATCTTTTAATAAAATCAAGTTTACTCCTTTATGTATCACCCTAACATGTATGTTCTGATTGCTGACTACATGGATTAAAGATAATTTTCTTCTCTCTACTTGGCATCCAGCCCATGAAAATCCAACTTTTTGCAGTTTCTACACCTTAATGACCATAGAAGAACACTGGAAAATATGCCACTTTATTAGACATCACATGTTACTTTATTATACCTGAAGTTTCTCTAAAGATTGAAACAATTCAATTATTACAGCAAGTTATACATATGTACAAACTGGTTATACACTATATTTATTAAGATTATGAAACTAGCTATACAACTCAATGACGTTTGGATGTGGAAATGTAATTCTGATATTTTTTATTTCCATTTCTATCATAGTTTGCTATTAGTATGGCTCTGTATAATAAACTTTCATGAATATATCAGAGAGAAATGGTAAGAAGAGAGCTAAGTGCAAACGATGCAAGTTAGTGACTCCGAAATAGTGACCACAGCAAGTCATATACCATTGTTTTAAATAACTTTTAAATATAGAATTATGTTTTGTTATATTTTTAAAGGTTTACAAATAAATTTTTTAATTCAGAAACTTGCATTGATGTGATTTTTAAAACATTTCATTGCTATCTTGGTTAGCAGTTTCCCGGTTTTTTTACACACATAGAACAAATGTTACAGTACAATGGGAGCATCCTGGTATGGAAAAAGATAGATCTGGAATTATATTTTATGTTCCGTTTTTGCTGTGGTTTTAAGAAATATACATTTTTTAGGTAATTTATTCTTCTGAAAGATGGGAATATTATATTTAAGCAAAAGAATTATTGTTTGAATCAATTTTAAAATATTGTGCCCATATTTATATCTAAAATGTTTCTGTCATTCATTAATATGATTCACATAATACAACTACAGAAAATCATTGTTGGTAATGAACCATAGAGATCATTTAGCTCTAAGTTAAATGCATTTCTTGGTGATACTTCTGTTGCTTCATAGTATAATAAGATAAATTAAATGCTTTACAGCAAAATTATTATATATAAGTATTACTAAAAGTCATCAGTAATAGCAACAGTTTGACATTGAGTCTTACCCTGAAATAATACACTTTTGCTCACACACTGTAAGTATTTTGTTTCTCTTTATGGCTTTAAAGGACTAAAAATAATTATTTAAAGCAAGAAAGCAGGAAAGTCATGGAAGGCACTGAGACAGAGGCTACTAATTTATGCAGAATTTCCTCTCATCTTCTTGTTACTTGTTTCAGAATCTTGCCTTGAGATTTTGTGGGATACATGATGATCCAACTAAAAACTACATTTCCTATCAGTATTCCTATCTTCCTATCTAGTTTAGGATTTATCCCAGAATTTTTCTTTTTCTCCTCCCTCCACCCCCTGCCCCCGCTGGAATGCAGTGGCATGATCTTGGCTCACTGCAACCTTGGCCTCCTGGGTTCAAGCGATTCTCCCGCCTCAGCCTCCCGAGTAGCTGGGATTACAGGCGTGCGCCACTATGCCAGGCTAATTTTTTGTGTTTTTAGTAGAGATGGTGTTTCACCTTGTTAGCCAGGATGGTCTTGATCTCCTAACCTCGTCATCTGCCCACGTCAGACTCCCAAAGTGCTGGGATTACAGGGATGAGCCACCATGCCCAGCCAAATTTTTCATTTTTAACCACATTATTAATGCTTACATTAAGGTAGGCCCTGATGGGTCCTGTGCTTCCAGATTCTCCCTCGGTTTCCTCTCATAGTACATGAGACATGCGTGAGGACAGGGCAAGAAGGGTTCTCACTGTAACAGAAGCTTATATCTGAAAGATGTCCAGTAATCTAATTGGTCTATCTTTCCTCAACTCTCACTAGACACATGCAACACAGCCAGCACTTTCCTTTCTATGACAGCAGGCACAAGGACATACGCTGTTTAACTACTTTATATTTTCTCTAGAACAATTTTTTTTTTTTTTTTTTTGAGACGGAGTCTCGCTCTGTCGCCCAGGCCGGACTGCGGACTGCAGTGGCGCAATCTCGGCTCACTGCAAGCTCCGCTTCCCGGGTTCGCGCCATTCTCCTGCCTCAGCCTCCCGAGTAGCTGGGACTACAGGCGTCCGCCACCGCGCCCGGCTAATTTTTTGTATTTTTAGTAGAGACGGGGTAGAACAATTTTTTTAGATCTACTGATACAATACAAAATAACGTCAGTTAATAAATATTTCAAAAAATATGTAACTATGTTTAGCATGCTCGTTTTTCCCCCTCAAAGTTGTTCTGGTTTGGACAATAAATATAGCCACACTATCTTTTGGTTGCCATTTTAAAGATCAAACTTGCCTACACTTCCTCTCCCCCTTGAAATTGCCTGGAAAATTGCATTGTTGTAGTTCCTGTGGAACCAGATATAGAGGCCATATGTTGAGTATGCATGGTAGTAAGAACCACTAAATACGGGTGTCTGGGAGAAGAAATGGAGCAGAGCCTCCCACTGGCCATGGATCCCTCAACTACTCACTGTTACTCAAGAGAGAAATACAGTGCCTTCTCTTTAACACATTGTATTTGGTGTCTTGCTGGCTGTCTCCTAAGTAATATATTCCCTAAATAATAAAGATCAAACATTATTTGTAAACACTATGCTACAAGCCACTCATGGAGAACTTAGGATTAACTGCACTTCTTGTGAGTAATGAGTGTGTGTGTGTGCGCGCGCGTGCGCACGTGTGTCTTTCTCTGCTGCCCAGGCTGAAGTGCCACGGCACCATCACGGCTCACTGCAGTCTCAACCTCCTGGGATCAAGCAATGCTGCGCCTCAGCCTTCCAAGTAGCTGAGACCACAGGCTTGCCTCACCATACCCAGCTAATTTACTCCTGGGCTCAAGCCATTCTCCAACCTCAGCCTCCCAAAATGCTGGGATTACAGGCATGAGCCACCACACTTGGGCTGTGAATGATTACGTTTTAAAGTTAATTATTAAGGTGCAAATCATGTAAAGCCAACAGTATTAGCATACATCTCTCATGGAATCTAACAGAATCCTGAACATTGGAACAGAGTAATAATTAGTAGAGCATGGAATGAAGCAGTTTCATGCAGTTCAGGACTATGTTGTCTGAAACATGTGTGCCACCTAAATATCACAATCAGAACAGTGACGTGTTCACACTAGGAGTGACTCTGAGCCCAGATTCACAGTCCTCATCTTTGATTCCTCCAGGGAATGTGGTTCCATAATGGAATCATTTGCCTTTAATAGGTTATCCAAACTGTCCTCTCTCTTTCCTTAGCTGTATGATCATGGTCCTTTAACACTTGACTTGTGTAGGGTCAGTTATATTCCACCTCATCATTTCCTAATGTAATTGTAAACGCTTTATTTTTATTGGTACTCTAAATAAGAATATGAAACCATCCTGTATCAAGTCCTGTTAAAATACTTGCAAGTATGTTGATTTTTAAAAAATAATAATATTTGTAAGCTATAAGGAATATAATATATTATGAGACAAATGATGTATGGCAAAGTATAGCACTTTATGCAATATAGATACCATAACATTGCCTCTCTTACTTTATGATTACTTGTTTCTCACCTAGATGTGCTGATTTGTGCTATACTGTTCCTTCCAGATTCTAAGAGTTTGAGTCTTGAAATGCTTTTGACTTCAAACCATTGTTCTTCTGTTTAGTGATAATTTATTTCAATTATGTTTCTTAGGGGTAAAATATTACTTGAGGATGGTTTAAACCTATAATATTGCTGAATCCTCAGCTGATTTTATCTTACCCCAGAGAGAAATTTCTTTGGCCAGGTGCCTGAGGGAATTAGTAATCTCAGAATTACTAATACTTAATATAATTTTAAGGTATTCGTACCTCAGTGCTACTTTTTAAAAACAGAGATTGTGTCACAAATCCAAATCTACATGTCATCTTTGGACAGGGGGCCTGCTAGTGTTGTCTGTCTTATTCCAATTGTAGCACATGTACAACCGAAGTGAGCGTCTTAAGGACTGGCGTTTCTACTCTGTAGTAAGTGTTATGACAAGTTTAATTCTGTTTTATCTTTTCTTTCAGGACACGATCTTTTGGCTTTCCAGGAAACCTCAGTGGTTAATCAGGAACCCCACTTTTGAGAAGCTTTAAAAAACAACTTTTCTCCTCCTAAGTCCCTGAGGCTCCCAAATGTGCAGCTCAGACTTTTGGTGGCTTCTCCAGAAAAGTAAATTCCCTGACACGAAAAGAGTTCTGAACGCTGGATTCCCCTTTTAACTTCTTCTGGTCCTATCTAAATCGTGACCTGGTTGTTCCCTACTGTCTCACTAGTTTGATGATATTATTAATAAAACAAACAAAAACACATTTGTTGTCCTTTTATTAGAAGCCCAGGATTGATGGATTGATATTAATTCTATATTGTATTATGGATAAAAGTTTGAAATTCTGCGTCCCATCGCCACGGTTAAAGTAAGCTGTTTTCATCCATTGCTTATGAGCAAGAGACCACAATGGCCTTAACTCCCCTCCAGCTAGACAAAAGTTTAAAGAGGTTTCCTTCTGATGCTAGGCCCTTCGCTTGTGCTTCCTAAGATTACTCACTTCAATAAAGTTGCAATTGCCCCTTTGAGATGTAAATCATCCCCTAGCCTCTAGCCAGTTTTACAACATGGAAATGCCTCTCAAGGATCTCGGAGCTAACCCATTGAAATGTAATCATCTAGAAAGACAGTGCCCCAATCTTTCCATCGCTGTGAGAAGTTAGGAACCTAACTTTCCTAAACTTCAATTAGAAAACACATGTGGCCTAATCACATTGACCAACCACTCTCCTAACATCAAGCAGTAGACTTCCCTCGCTAATGCAAACTCTCCTGCCTTTTGTTTCAGCAGAGTTGAATTCAATCTTTCTCTTTATTGCAATAATCTTGACCTCTTTTGCAATAGTCTTAAATAACATTTTCCCCACCTCTTTAACACCATCTCTTGCAATTTTTCTTTGACATTTAACTAAAGATTAATTAGTTCTGGAAATTTACCCTTTTTTTCCTCCATGGATTCAGCAGCAGTATCTAAAAGAAAAAAATTCATCAACCAATTATATATATATAGATATACATAATATATATGTATATATATAATATAAAGATAAAACACTGCAACCAGTGGAACTGAACATAAAGTAATTCAAATTCACAGAACGCATCTTTTTTTTCAGGCTTTTAATTTTATTAAACATAAAAGGGCAATATAAATTCCTGTGCATGTCACCTTTTACTTAAGAATTCATTAACAGCGAATTAGTTTAACAAGGCTGTTTTGCAAGAGGCTGTGGTTGCATTCAAAAATTAGAACGGGAACAACGATTTGTAAAAATTAAACATTTTAAACTACCACTTACTACATTCACTGTGTCTACAATTTGGCATATTTCTTTCGGTGGCCACAAAATTATAAAATGGACACAGAATAGGGTCTTCAAAAAATTAAGGACGTTCTTTCTTCTTAACAACATTATAAATATAATTCAAATAAGCATGACAATTTTACCAAATAGATTGACTTTTTTGCTTCAAAGAACACATTTGTACATGTAAATTAATTTTGGTCAATATGTGTGAGTGCATGTGCCTGTGGATGTAAATGGCAGTAAAGGGGAAGGTGGAAAAAAGGGAGATGGTCTGGCTTTTTTAACCCACTTTTTAAACGCCCAAAACAGAGGTACTAAAAAATAATGATGTTGTGAAAATAAAGTATTGCCAACTAGAAAAAAGACTTGAAATTGGCATATTTCTTTCTTATATATTATTAAATATATCGTAAATATAAATCTTACACAATTTAGCTCCCCTATCTCCCAGTCTCTGTGAGAGGTTAGGAATCTAACTTTCCTAGGCCTCAGTTAATAAACACATCTGGCCTAATCACATTGACTAACCTCTCTCCTAACATCATGCAGCAGATTTCACTGGCTCGCCGAAAAATTCTCCTACCTTTTTTTTTTTTTTCCTGAGATGGAGTCTCGCTCTGTCGCCCAGACTGGAGTACAAGTGGCACGATCTTGGCTCACTGCAACCTCCGCCTCCCAGGTTCAAGAGATTCTTGTGCCTCAGCCTCCTGAGTAGCTAGGATTAAAGGTGCATGCCACCACGCCCAGCTAATGTTTGTCTTTTTAGTATATATGAGGTTTCACCATGTTGGTCAGGCTGGTCTCAAACTCCAAACCTTGTGATCCACCCGCCTTGGCCTTCAAAAGTTCTGGGATTACAGGTGTGAGCCACCATGCCCGGCCAACTCTCCTGCCTTTTATTTCAACAGATATGTCAACTTTTACATGGTACAATAATTGTATAAGATAATATTAGATTGAATCTCACAATCACACTCAGCTTGATTACTAAACTTTCTCCTGCTTCTTGCTCACCTAAATTTACCTACGTTTTCTATGAATAGAGTAGTTTAGAAATTTATGTCTTCTGTGCATTATAGTGTAAGTTATTGTAAGATAGAAATATGGACTTTCTTTGAATCCCATTTTCTGCCTAGGAAATACCAATATATTTTGAGTATGATAAGTGTTTCAAAGCATTCAAAAATGAACAATGTAGGAAACACACTGCAAAATGAGGTCTGATTCTCATCCCCTTACTCTTAATTGCTCTTTGTCTCTCGTCTCTCTCTGTTTCATTGATGAGTATAAAAGATCACTTTCATATGATATTAAAATTCATAGAAATAAGTGTTGATTTGATCATCCAACCAATCATTTATTGAGTGTCCATTACAAGTCAAATTGTGTTCTTGAGAACAGCTCAGGAAATGAATGTTTGACACTGATGTACATAACAGAAATGCAAACATACCACTAAAAACATCAGACCTCTTATGACAATCCAGATTCTCATGTAAGCTCTATTAAGCTCTTTCAAGGTGAGAATTGATCATTTCAAAAAAAAAATCATTTTAACAGGTCATTCTTGAGACAGAAAAGTGGAATTAGAAGCTCATATATTGCTGTTTCAGGAGCTAAAATCTTAAGTGCTGTATTTAATCAATTGACAGCCATATAATTCTTAGTTTTATATACCGATATTCATCAAAAATTAAAAACCTTGAAAATTATTCCTGTCTCATTCTACTAATCAATTTAAACATTTCATTTATTTTGTTATGTTTCCTCATTTTACTTGGCCTTGAATACTTCTTTCCAGCCCAGTATTAAATTTAATTGAGATCTAATTTGTTTACTTGGTTTAGTTACTTTTGACTATGTTTGGTACATGTCTTATGAAGCAGGTATGTAGGAATGTTTACAAATTTATGGTCCTCACTCCTCCAAAGCCCTAATGGCGATACACCGAACAGACACATACCACAATGTAAACACACACACACTCACCCACCCACCCACACACACACACACTCCAGTGGATCAACACATAAAATACTCTACAGGCAAAAACATCACACATCAGGGATCTCTCAGTGTATTACTCACTTCTGTAATTTATCAGGACTGTTCAAATGAGGTGAGTCTGCAGAGATTTCTAAGGCGATTTGAGTGCTAAGCTGTCTAACTAGTGGTTGGACACTATTTGAGTAATGTACCAAACATAACTCTCAAGACTGTGAAGAATTTATGTACTTTCCAATAAACAAGGAGTTACAAGATCCTAAAAAACACAAGTTTTTTATATCCTTTAATAGATAAAGGAAAGCTGATATCAATATGAATATATGTGTGTTAATGTTTGCTTGCTTGTAGTATACATTTTTATGTTACTGGGAGTAAGAAACATCTTACGGAAAAGAAGACAAGAAATAAAATTTTCTTTGTTACACTGTCCAGTAACTCTCCACTGCACATGTAGGCTATAAATTGATGTCTTGGGGAACCACTTTGGTATTTCATTTTAATAGCTCATTCTGGAGAATATATTTGAATGAATCATGTATTACAACTGATTTAAATTTTGACCCATTAGAAATGAGTTCTCAAAAATATGTCTGAAGCCTGGATACTGTAAAATCCTTTATCATCACAGAATAATAAATTGCTAGCCATTAGTTACTCAGAAATTGTTCAATAAATCTAAGACGACTTAGATATAAATAGTTATGAGCGAGTATGTCTCATCATTAATGTTTGTAAAAATTAATGCTGTCATTTATGATTGAGAATAAAAAACGAGAAATGAAACTTTGATAGAAGTAAATGATAGATATAAACTTTACATAAAGCGAGAGAATAATAGATGTGTTAAAATGTTTATTTTATAGATAAGATTTATGATGAAATTGTGTTGAATAACATGAATCCACCAGCAGTTACATCATCACAACCTTTTAAATATTCCATTAACTTCAAAATGTACTTATCACTGAAATAATCTGATTAAATGAATTGGGATAATGGGTAAGGATTGGTATAAGCTGAAAGCAATACTGGACTTTAAAAATTATGTTTCTTTGTGTATTACATGAGAAAATATTGTTGATAAGTTAATTACTGCACAGTGCTTATTATAACACTTAAACCTGGAAGAAAATCAGTAAATGTTTAGAGAATAAAATTGGTGAACTGCTTCCATTTTATACTATTTCCTGTTTATTTCAGTGCTTACCCAAATTTGCAACTCTAAATAAGGCCCAATTATTTACTCCTCAAATAGCACAAGATTTACGAAGAAAAGTGAAAGCTTTTTTTTCCACTCAAATATTCTAGTCTCTATCTGCTCAAATTTCTCACTAACTTTTCTTGAGTCTAGTACAAGTACTGATCTCAAGGCCACTGCTACCACTTTCACCATCTTCTGTGCCTCAAGGCTCAACCTTCCTCATTTACTTCAGTGAATTTGGAAAAGTTCCATTTCGTGATACTTTAAGCAACCTGGACGTCTCTTCACTAAAAGTGGTATTCTTCCTGTGTTCCTATGATTTTTTTCCAGAAAATGATATCAACCTCTACCTACACCTGACATCTCAGTGTAATTCTTGACATTTCCTTCTTCACATTTCCATTTCCAATCACCAAGTCTTTTCAGATTTTACCTTCTCTATAGTTCTTGAAATAATTTTTCTCTTTCTGTCTTCATTGCTATCATGGGATCTAACCCCCCAACTCTCTAACCTGGGCTATGGTGACCACCTCTAAAGTGCTCTCCCTGATTGTCTCTCCAAAAAATGTTTCTCTTTTCTATATCCAGAATGACTTACTCAAAATGCAAATACAATTTGCATTGTAAATTGCTCTGTTTAAAAACTCCCAAAGACTTTGCATTGGTAATCGGATGAATATCAAGAGTCCAAAATAGTGTTCAAGCAGTACAAAATCTGTTCTTTGTATTTCTCCCTCCTCTCCTCTGATGACATGAACCTCCTCAATCTGAATGATTCAATAATATTTTATTCCTTAAATGTAAAATACTTCTTGTCTTCTGGACTTTGGTCTTCTTATTCACATACTTTTCCCACTATCATCCTTTCTTTTTTTTTTTTTTTTTTTTTTTTTTTTGATGGAGTCTCATTGTGTTGCCAGGCTGGAGTACAGCGGCATGATCTCGGCTCACAGCAAACTCTGCCTCCCAGGGTTCAAGCGATTTTCCTGCCTCAGCCTCCCGAGTAGCTGGAACTACAGGTGTGCACTACCACACCCAGCTAATTTTTGTATTTTTAGTAGAGATGGGGTTTCACCATGTTGGCCAATATGGTCTCGATATCGTGACCTCATGATCTGCCCACCTCAGCCTCCCAAAGTGCTGGGATTAGAGGCATGAGTCACCGTTCCTGGCCCTACTATCCCATATTTATATAATCAGCTCTTAATCTTGTTTTGGTTTGCTCTTCAGTCTTTCCCACCAAGGGAAGCCTTACCTGGAATCCCTAAATATGAAAGGCTTTCATAAGAGTGGCTTTCATAACAGTGTGTAACTTTCCTCCGTAGTGGGATTATTTTAGTTATAATACTGTTTTTATATTTTTATTACTATTTATAATAGATAAATCCAAGCACACTCTTTGGCAATAAGTCTAATGGACTTTTGATACAATTACTAATTCAGTACAAGTACTAATTCAGCCATGATTCCAGAGATTGAGAAAAAAATATGCAGCAGTAATCTGTCACAAGTGGAAGGACAAATAACCAAGCAATAATGTACTACCCATTCATCTCTTAAAAACAGGGTTAAAATATTTGTTCGCGTGTTTTCAGGAGGAAGCATGGACAGAGTTTCTTGCTTCTTATCCTCCCAACTCACTGTTTCTATGAAAAAAGTAATTAATCTGATAAACAACACAGAAAAATTTGGTGTTTACTGGCCTGCATTAACAAGATGGTGATTCCAAGAAGTTGAAATAAAGAGACTTCAGAGCCTGTCTCTCTCAATCACTATCTTTGGGCTTGTGAAATTGCTTGTTACACAAAATAGGGAGCACTTGTGTAAGACCTGCATAGGGTGGCTCAGCCCGGCTACTGTTTTCATGAATTCAACTTTTCCAAGAGTGACAGAATGTCAGAATCCCATGAGCCAAAAGTTTTATGATGAGAGAAGAAGAATGATATTTCACTCCCTAATTTTAAAATTAGGTTTTAAATAAAGTTAATAAAGTTAAAGTTGATAAAGCTGAATACATACACACATGCACACACACAAACACGCACACCACACACACACACGCTCCTTACAGCAGTTTTTCAATGTTTAATCATTCATGAGAAGTTGTTTGATTTTGTATTTTCAATTTACCAATACTTGCAACAGGCTCTGGCTGCAAAACTTTTTTCAGTCAAATAGTAGCATTTGAGAAACAACGTTGTTGCTGAAAGATAGAAGATCAGCCTTAACTACAACATCAGTAGACTTGTGACTGTTTGTAACCAGAGGGAGGTAAATGGCTTTCAGATGGTTGTGTAGCTGGTTTTTGCAGTAGCCTGCAGTGGCTGTCTGATAGACATAAACCTTACTATTTATTATTAGACTTCAGAGCATTAATATTAGATTTTAATTTGCTTATGTTAGGCATGAGAAGGTAGCATTATCCTTGCTGCCCTAAATATTGTTCCTTGTCACTTTTTCCCATTGAATTTAAAGGTAATTTGGGGAATGTGTCTAACGTAACCTTATATCCATGTGTTTGCCATAGGTTTCTGGAGCTCCCATTCTGAACATGCTCCCCAGTTGATTCTTCATGGGCATAAATTTAAATTTATGGAGGATTGTTTCGTACCTCTCAAGGAATGTGGATTCAGTACCAAGCGCTTGTAGAGTTTATCAAAAAGAAGATAAAGAGGAATAAGAGTTCCTGCTTTATGGGAACATATTATCTTCTTTGGGTAATGCCTATCAGTACTCCCTGAAAAGCTGGAGTGTTAAATGTTTGTAACCAGTTCACAATGAGAGAAGTAGCTTCCACTAGAAATTAAATCAATACATTACTTCTTTCATTGAGTAACTATTGCTACAAAAAATATGTCTGCTGAATAAATTAGCATGCTTATTGACATAACTGATTTGCAGACTGTAATAGCAGTTTACGGACCAAACACTAAGCCCCACTGAAAAATCAAATAGAATTATTTGACAGTTAAGTATCACTGAAAAAGTCTGGCTTTTGATATCAGGAAGCGATCAGATTGATCATATGTTTTCAGCATGTAGTCATAATATAACTGTATATCAATAGTGTACATTTGACCCTTTATATTATGCATTTTACATATATTTTCTCATTTAATCCTTCATTACAAGCACAAGATACAAAATAGATTTGGATTTAATTGCTTCATTAAGGTGAAAGACCAAACCCTCATTACAATGCTAATGTCAGAGGTTCTTCTTCCAATTAAAACAGAAAGTTACCAAAGGTAATTGCTCCTGCCATAATGAGACGACGTTAGATAAACGTTTTTTTGAAAAACTGTATTTTTGAAGCCATCCAAAAGCTATGGGCCTAAAGTTTCAGGGGACTAAATTTCAGAGAAAAACAAGCCCTTCCTGGGTGATCACAGGCCAGCAGCTGAGTCCATCCCTAAGGACATTTGTTGGATCTAGGGACTTGAGTAGACAGAAGAACAAGCCTGAAATGTACAGAGAAACAGCTGGAACACTGGGAATACACAAAATATTTAATCTACAGAACACTGCAATAGGGGCTGGAAATTGGAAAGATCGTGTGGTCTCCTAGTACTTATTTATTTTCATTTCTTAAGGGATAGGCTCTCATTCTGTCACCCAGGCTATAGTGCAGTGGCGTGATCATGGCTCACTGCAGCCTCAAACTCTTGGCCTCAGGCAATCCTCCTGCCTCAGCCTCCTGAGTAGATGGGACTTCAGGTGCACAACATCATGCCTGGCTAATTTTTAAATTTTTTTTTGGAGAGACAAAAATCCACTACGTTGCCCAGGTTGGTCTGGAATTCTTGGCTTCTTGTATTCTTTCTGAGTTGGCCCCACAAAGCACTGGGATTACAGGCATGAGTAAACATGCCTGGCCTCCTCTAGCATTTAGATGCTAAATTCTGCTGGAAAAAGGAGTACAAAATGAATACAAGTAGTAAGTAGTATCTTGAGTATTTTCTTCCCATACACCCATGGGAGTATTTGGTGCATCTTACTACCTCACGTACACCATTCTTTCATCAAACTATCCAAGCTAAGTATTTAAATTTAATTTTTTCCCTACAAGAAACTCTATGCTAAAGCTCATTAAGTTTGATTTTGAGAGTCTCTGTTTTTGTATCACAGTTGTAGAAAATTAATCACATTCTTTATTTTTTGAGACATTATCATTATTGTTTCCTAGAAGTTTCTCTCTGGTTTTACTTATTTATTTAATTCTTTTATTCCTTTTCCCTAGCCATAGACAGGCACTCTCATGTGTTTGATATAGGTTCTTTACTCTTAAAGAATTCTTACAAAATAAGAAAGTTGTTTTCTCAGTGTCTGTGTGTGTATAAACAAGAGTGTATACATTTTTCTTAAAGAGTATTATGATATACATCTATTTTATTTCTAATTTTTTTCACAGAGCATAATGTTCTTCATACATTCCCACATTGTTGTAGGTTCTTTTAGGTTGTTTATTTCCCTGTAGCTGCTGCATAGTTTTCAATAAAATGAACCCACCACATTTTCCCCTATGCAGTCTTGCAGTAGAATTAACACTGACATCCAGCTACCATAGAATTCACTTCTGTAAATAGCCTCCTTATGAAGACATCTTTTGGTTACGCGTCACAATCTGTCAGGGGTTGTGTTAGTCCATTTATATTGCTATGAAGAAATACCTGAGGCTGGGTAATTTATTTTTTAAAAACAGAGGTTTATCTTGGCTCACGGTTCTGCAAGCTGTACAGGGAGCATGGCAACGACATCTGTTCTTGGCAAGGCCTGAAGCTTATAATCATGGAAGAAGGTGAAGGGGAGCCAGCGTGTCTCATGGTCAGAGAGGGAGCAAGAGAAAGAAGGGAGAGGTCCAAGTCTGTTTTAAACAATCAGATCTCTCGTGAACTAATGGAGCAAGAACTCACTTACCACTAAGGAGATGGTGGTAAATCAAGCTTGTTTGACTCACACCCTGCAGGCTGAATGCAGCCCAGGACAGCTTTGAATGTGGCCCAACAAGAAGGTGGCCCAACACAAATTTGTAAGCTTTCTTAAAACATTATGAGCTTTGTGTGTGCGTATGTGTGTGTGTGTGTGTCTGTGTGTGTGTGTGTGAGAGAGAGAGAGAGCTCATCAGCTATTGTTAGTGTTAGTGTATTTTATGTGTGGCCCAAGATGACTCTTCTTCCAATGTGGCCCAGGGAAGCCAAAAGACTGGACATTCCTGTGCTAAACCGTTCATAAGGGATCCACCCCATGATCTAATACCTCCCACTGGGTCCCACCACCAACATTGGGGAACGCATTTCAGCATGAGATTTGGAGGGGACACACATTCAAACTATATCAGGAATATACACCCAACAATAAGACAGTTAGGTTGTAGGGCATGCATAATTTTAAATGGGTCCTGCCATATTATTTTCCAAAATGTTTACAACCATTTACTTTCCCATCCATTGCCCATAAAGGTTGTTTTTCCTCATATCCTCATCACACAATATCATCTATAAGTTTTATATTTTCTAAGCAAGTGGTGAAGATACATATCACATTTTATTCATGCACATTGGCATTTGTCAGAGTGCTGATATCATATTGGGATTTTGGGGGGCCCATTTTTCTAGTGAGTTTACTATACTCTTTGTTGATTTGAATGTCAATAATAATCACTTTTCTCTATCTAGGCATTGTCAACATTTTCTATTACTCTGTCATATGCTGATAACTTTGTATGCCAGCCTTTGATGGAATGAATCCTTAAAATTTTTATAGTTCTTCTAGAGTTTAATTTATATTTTAAATGGAATTTTTTGGTTTAGTAAATCTTTTATTAAAGTGTAACAACACACCACAATTTGTATTTTGTTGGGTTCCTTCAGACTTAGAATTCTGATACATTTTGGTTGATATACCCTTTTTATCATAATGAAGCATGGCTATCATAATGCAATATGAGTGGATCTAGGAATCTATATTGACAACCATGACAGAAAACATTATTTTTGCTTTCAATCATAAAAAATAATTTTAGAAACAAAAGAATAACCCATAACATTTACTTAGATATTTACCTTTCTGTTCTTTAATTCTTTTGCCTTTTCTTAACTTAAATATTATTCACTTATTCCTTATTTCCTTTTAACTTTTTCTACATTCATGAGCTATTATTTTAGTGGTTATACTAGTCATTATACTGTTTAACACTTGTTGATTAAAATTGAATATGTTATTACTTATTTGTGTTACTCATAAGTTCAGAATCTTATTTATATTAATCCCTGTGGCTAAAAATTAAAAACATATATTTTAAATCTCCATATTATTGTTTAATTTTTGTGCAATATTTTGCATCGACCCAGATATTTACCCTCATATGTGTTCCTTTTGAATGTCTTAGTTTCAGGACATTTCGATGTCTTAGTCATTTTTTTTTTTCATGAAGAATTCTTTAGTCTTGCCTATGACACCAGCAGTATCTATGAATGGTCCAGTTATGCTAGAAAATACATGTATTCTCTTTAAATTTGGTGATTATTTCCACCTACTATGGTTCCCACTGGTTTGATCTTCTCCATTTAATATTTTGACCTCTTATTATTTTATTTTAGTTGATCATTCATATCTTCTGTTATTTGCTTATATTGCTTGATGTATCAGTTTCTAAGAATTTGTGTGAAAAATCTAATTATAGCCATGGATTCTTTATTTCTACCCATATCTCTATCAAATTTTACTTTATATATGCAAGTTCTACTTCATATTTGTGAATTGGGTAAATTTCTTTTCAAAACTATTACATTTTCTTAACATATTGTTCCTTGTACATGTATTAGTAGACAATGTCTTAACTTCAATTATATTTTATCACATATTTAGGACACAACATAAATTTTCTTTTGCATCATATATACCTGTATTTCTTTCTTCATCTTTTTGGTTTTCAATTCTCTGTATTATTTTATTTTGTAGATTATTTGCAACATATATTGCTGAAACTTAACTGTTGCAATATAATCTGAGCATTTCTGTTTGTCATTGGCTCCTTTAACTTATTTGAATTTATTACAATTCATGCAATTTTATGCTTAATTTACTGTATTTTCAAGCTAGGCAGCCTTCCTCCTTTCACTGACTTTCATTTGACAGGTCAGAATTTCTTCTGCTAGTTTAAATTTTAAATACTTTATTTTTCTTTTTCCAGTGTTTGCCTTCAAATTTTTAAATTCTGTATTTATTTTGCACTATAATTTTCAACACCTGTATCTTCCCCTTATCAATTTGTATATAGATATATATCAACTGCCTTCCTTTGGCATCCCCTAGCTTCCAATTACTATACATCACTAAAATTGTATCCTCAAGAACAGCTCTCTTCAAATAGTATGCTTTGAGAAACACATAAATATTTATCAAGGGGAACTTGGACATTTTTTCTAGATCCTCAAATTCTATTGGCATTCTTTCTTCATACTCTACCACCTACTGTCTTACAAAAAAAAACTTTAAAAAATGAAGGGACATTTAAAATCTTTTCCTTAACATTACAATTGCCTCTAGTTTAAAACCTTTAGAGCACCCATTAAAAGGGTACTTGAAAACACGGAGAGGGGAATTCGCTAATTGGTAACTCACAATCATTAAACTTGGGCTGGGTAAAACTGCTTGAATTTCTTGTTTCATACATACTTTGCCAAGTGTAAAGAATCGCTTAAAATATAATATATTTTGACTTTTGGTGGGAAATTCTAAAATCAGATGTAATGTAGTTTGAGCACGTGGAGTACCCTGCTTTTGTTGTTGTTGTTACAATCTCAGTTCTCTCATCAGGCGCCATTGTCAGAAAAGCATTGCTTTTGAGAAAGTATCTGAGAGCAGGATGGAAGCAGAGCAAATAAGCAACAAGGAGAGCTAAAAATGGCTTTTTCACAAATCTAAACAAAAGTTTGTCTTTCCAGTTACTTTTTTTTTTTTACTATTCATTAGAGAATGCCTAATTAGCTAGGAAGAAAAACATTTTAAGTAGACAAAATGGTTCTGCAAATAACAATTTTTTCAAGATACAGCAAAAAAAGTCAACCGTGAGTTTTCTGTGACTTTTGTGGAGATGTGGGTATAGCTTACTCACTACGAAAGATAGGATTTAATTTTTAAAGCATATAAAATATATACCTGTATTATTGACAGTTCTAATCTTAGTTGATAATGTAAAATGTTGATTATTTCCCATGTAAAAATTACTATCAGCCACTAAGACAAGTAAATTTTAGTAGTATATGCCTTACTTGTTAAAAATTAACTAGACAGGAAATTGTGGTATCTATATCCAACAAGTTAGTGGAGTTTTTCTGGTTTTCATATGTAACTCTTATTTTATCTTCTCAAAGACAAAAAGTAGTTCAGGAAAAAAACACATATTTAACCAAAGGGAAACCATGAATAATTATACACCTGTATTAGTTTATCATTGCTGGTGTAAAAAAAAAATTACAACAAACTTAATAGCTTAAAACCACAAATTTATTATCTTAACAGATCTTGAGGTCAGATCTTTAAAGGGATCCTCAATGGGTCAAAATCAAGCTGTTAGTAGGGTTGCATTCTTTCTAGAAGCTCTTGGGGAGAATAGGTGACCTTGCCTTTTCCAGCTTCTAGAGACTGCCCCTGTGGGATCATGGCCCCTTTAATTTTAAGCCAGGAGTGTAGTATCATAGAAACTCACTGACTCTTCTGCTTGCCTCTTCTACCTATTAACATCCTTATAATTGCATTGAGTCTACCTGAATAATCAACGGTAATCATCTTCTCTAAATGTCATCAGATTAGCAATCTTCATTCCATCTGCAGCATCATTTCCCTTTCGCCAAATAACCTAACATAGTCACAGTTTCTGGGGAAGTCGATACAGGAGATGTTATTTTGTGTACAATCCTTGATAAATAATTTAAAATTTTAATACATACTTTATTTATGCCTACAAATTAAATATTGACATATACCATATAAATGTATTTTAGCTCTTATAATTTACAAATTAGATGAATTAATCATACAAGAGATCTATATCGTTGTAAACTTGACTGCTTTTCATAATCTATATTATAGATGAAATTCATGATTTAGTTATCCAGGTTTTTTTTTTTTTCAGGTCCCTCAAAACACCTAATATAGCATGTATTAGACACTTCTTGAAGAAAGGTACTCTGATATTGGACAATAGTGATGTCTGGCCTTGCTGAGTGATGCCTGGCTTGGCTAATTTGGTTGTATAGCAGACTATTCCCTCCAAAATTTAGTATTCTAAATACAACTCCAAAATTTTAACCCAAAGATAATTATAACATATAATAGGATGAGGTAAGTGATTTCTATTTTAATATACATTTGCCAATATAATATCTTTTTATTGGTAAATGTATATTGAAATAAAAATCACTTTATATGTTGAATAAAAATTACGCTTAGAAAAGAAAATGAAGCGAAAAGTATAATCCATAATCATTTGACAGGATTAGTTTGGGTACAACCTTTTTTAAAAAAGTAATTAGAAATTAAGAATGTCAATTATTCTAATAAGTGGTAACAAATTCTTTTGTTTGTCAGGTAGTTTACAATTCTTTGCCTTCAACACAATTGAAGGAGAACCTAGAATTGTTAGCTAGTAAGTCATTAAGAATTATTTTTCATGATGGATCCTTGTATTCTTGTGAAGCATCTCAGAAAGATTTCAAATAATTAAGCGGCATCAATACAAAAAAGGATTTTTATTCCATTTTACTTACTCTCGAGACTAAGATTCTACTGATCTTAGATCAATAAAAATGAAAAATAGAAATAGAATTGAAGTTGAACCATGTCTCAATCAGGCAATAAGTAATATTTATTCATGTACGCATGAATTTATCAAAAAGTAAAGAATTCTTCATCTCATTTAGGGTTATATCTACAATACAACTTCACTTTTGATACAGTTTATTTCTCAGAGTTTGGAATACAAACAATATATTCATGTTATAAACAATGACACTTTTAAAGTATACTGCTAATAATAGTGAGAAAATTTTTGCGATCTATCCATCTGACAAAGGGCTAATATACAGAATCTATAAGGAACTTAAACAAATTTACAAGAAAAAAAACAACCCCATTAAAAAGTGGGCGAAGAATAGAAAGACACTTCTCAAAAGAAGACATTTATGCGGCCAATAAACATGAAAAAAAGCTCATCATCACTGGTCATTGGAGAAATGCAAGTCAAAACCAAAATGAGATACCATGTCACGCCAGTTAGAACGGCAATCATTAAAAAGTCAAGAAAGAACAGATGCTGGCGAGGATGTGGAGAAATAGGAACACTTTATACTGTTGGTGGGAGTGTAAATTCAACCATTGTGGAAGACAGTGTGGTGATTCCTCAAGGATCTAGAACCAGAAATACCATTTGACCGAGTAATCTCGTTACTGGGTATGTATTCAAGGGATTATAAATCATTCTACTATAAAGACACATGCACATGTATGTTTATTGCAGCACTATTCACAATAGCAAAGACTTGCAACTCACCCAAATGCCCATCAATGATAGACGGGATAAAGAAAATGTGGCACATACACACCATGTATTACTATGCAGCCATAAAAAAAAGAATGAGTTCATGTCCTTTGTGGGGACATGGATGAAGCAGAAACCATCATTCTCAGCAAACTAACACAAGAACAGAAAGCCAAACACTGCATGTTCTCACTCATAAGTGGGAGCTGAACAATGAGAACATATGGGGACAGGGAGGGGAACATCACACACCGGAGCCTGTCAGGGGATGGGGGGCAAGGGGAGGGATAGCACTAGGAGGAATACCTAACGTAGATGATGGGTTGATGAGTGCAGAAACCACCATGGCACGTGCATACCTATGTAACAAACCTGCACATTCTGCACATGTATCCCAGAACTTAAAGTATAATACAAAAAATGTATAAAAATAAATAACACACAAAACAATAACGCGGCCAGTCTCAGTGGCTCATGCCTGTAATCCCAGCACTTTAGGAGGTTGAGGCAGGCAAATCATGAGTTCAAGAGATCGAGACTACCCTGGCCAACATGCTAAGTCCCAATCTCTACTGAAAATACAAAAATTAGCTGGGCGTGGTGGCCTGTGCCTGTAGTCCCAGTTACTAGGGAGGCTGAGGCAGGAGAATCGCTTGAACCTGGGAGGTGGAGGTTGCAGTGAGCCGAGATCACACCACTGCACTCCAGCCTGGTGACAGAGCAAGACTCCATCTAAAAAACAATAATAAAATAAAATAACTCAACAGAATAATTTTTAAGACTTGCTCTGAAAATTTAAAAATACATTATTTCATTTATAGACTTATTTGAAGAGATTTATAGGTAATCATTTAAAACCTTTGAAGTTTAAAATATTATAACAAAAAATTGTGCAGTTGAAAATGAAATGAAAATGTAAGTTTTAAGGGGAAGAACAGTGTAAAAATTACTGTATTTTACATCTTATGAGTTATTTTAAGTGAACATTTTATCTGCCCTTTATTTCTCTAAAGTTATCATTATTTTTCCAAAGAGTTCTTCCCTCTGTTTATTTTTCTTTTTTGTCTCAATTATATTTTTATTTCATGACTGATGACAAATTATGGTAAACAATGTTATGTGTTGATACAACTGAGATCTATATCTGCTACAAGAGGAAAATTCAATTTGCCTTTAAATGTCATCTTCAGATTGCTTTGGTTGTGCCTGCATTCTGTTTTTAAAGTATAAAAGATTTTAAATCTCTGAAATGACTTCACAAATATCTTTTTTAATATTCAATCTTTAATTAATCAGGGCCCATGGGGGCTAGAAATTCTGATTAGTTATCTGCTCCAAATCGTGATTAAGGAAACCTTCATAAAACCACAGCATGATGGATTTAAAAGGAAGTTTATAGTTACAGTGAGTCTAAAACCTAGATATGCATTAGTATCACCTGCTTCACTCTATTGGTTTCTTGATTTATTTATTTATATTTGTCATAGACTTTTATTATCTACCTGTTGTCACATTGGCATGCCTTTCTTTCTTCTGCGTTATTGCCTTTTTCTTTTCTCTTGTTTCTTTGTTTTTTCTGTTCTTTTATCTTTTTATTTTCTGTAATGTACAAAGGTCAGGTATCTTTATGTATTTATTTTGTTCACAGATGCCTGACATTCTTCAATAGATATCTGTTCAATTAAATACATATCTCTTACTTCTTTATGGCACTTCTGCTTTCTTCTGGAAGAGGTCCTAGCCTGTTTCCCCTCAGCTGAAACCTTTTTGTGATTTATATCACTCAGGGCTGTCTTCAATTGAACCATTATATTTAAAAAACAATATTTCACTTTCCTCTTTCTTTATAAATTGTGATTCCTAATTCTTTGTTATCAACATCTACCCTTTACCAATGAAAGAAAATGTGTTATGGCTATTTATAATGTCTGAACTGTCTGTTGCATTGCTTTTTTCGGTTTGTTGCAGTTTTGATACTCCTAGATATAAAATTTATTAAATTATAAAATATGGAGGCTGAGGCATGAGAATGGCTTGAGCTCATGGGTTCACGACTGTAGTGGGCCGTGATCATGCCACCACACTCCAGCCTGGGTGTTATAGTGGGACCCCATCCACCCATCCCAAAAATTATATATATAGAAAATATTTTTTTTCACTGAGTTATTAAAGGTTCTTAAGTACTCTGCATATGGTTTATTGAAGTTGTCAAGTACACTTTGAAATATGTGTATATGTGTTTGAATGTGTTTTTTTAGTGTTCCTCCTGGTATGATGCAAGTGTAAGGACATAAAATGCCCCAGAGTAAAGAGCGCCAGTTACCAGGGCAGAGTGCTTCCCATTTTATAAGGCTCTGAACTTCTCTGAAGTTATTCTAGCAAATCCAAGCGCAGACAATCCATTGTTTCTTTTCTATGTTATGGCAGTAGTTGAGAAATTAAGGATACTCCCTGAGAAATGGCGTGATAAGAGCAAAACATATATTCACCATTATACCTATGTCAAAATGCAAATCACATAATCTCAGCTTTGTATCTTTCTAGGTTTTCTCATCTTCCTAGTTTTTATGTTAATGTCTTATATGTATATCTCTCTTCATCTACAATTGTTCTCTAGGACAGAATTTAAAAGATAAACCAGCAGGACATGCCAGTTAACCACTGTGTTAGGAAATCACAATTACTGGTATCCCTGGCCTCAATTGGACCCTTAGTATTTCCAGACAATCATACTATATATATTTCCTAGTGTAATGGTTCTCAAAAACTGGTCCCCATACTATAATGGTGAACTTCTTAGGCCCCATCGTATACTTAATAAATCAGAAACACAGGACTCGGCAATCTGTGTTTTAGCAAGCTCTTCAGGTGATTCGAACGCAAGCTAACTGTTCAGGATGGTCCAAAGACATTTACTCTCTCATGTGCCTATGTGATGCTATGTCCTTCCCAAACTTCCAAACATACTTTCTCATTCTTCTTTTTTTTTTCATTCAATGAAAAGCAATCTAAAACAATTTTCTGGGCCAGGTGCAGTGGCTCATGCCTATAATCCCAGCACTTTGGGAGGCCGAGGCAGGCGGATCATGAGGTCAGGAGTTCAAGACCAGCCTGGCAAGCATGATGAAACCCTGTGTCTACTAAAAAACAAACAAACAAACAAACAAACAGAAACAAAAAAACGATTTTCTAACAACAAACTCCCACCACATCCACCATATGTTTGTGCAGCATGGAAAACTTGTGTTCATATCCTCTATCTTCTCTCTTGTTAATACCACCTGGTCAAGGTCAACCTCTCCATTTGTACATTAGCTCCCGTTTCCTCTTAGCCACTCAAAGACATAGCTCCAGCTCCACTATCTCTTCTATATCATCATTTCCCCTCTCTACGGTATTATCCTATTGCCATTAAATAACCAAACAAATAAACAAAGAAACAAACAAAACAAGTTATTAACTTATTCATTTAAAAAAAAAAAGTCAGTCTCCTAATTCCACATCCCTTTTCATGTATACCTGGACACCTAAGTCTCCCTTTCCCTTCACAGGCAAAAACCTTGACAAAATTTTCTTTTTGTTCCATCTCAAATGTCTCTTTCCCCTTCTGTCTGGACTTTAATCAGGCTTTGCCTGCCCTTCCCCATTTATAATGCTGTGATCAAGGATATCAATGGCTTTTATGTTACTAAATTGAATGGTCCATCTCAGCGTTCTTTTTTTATTTAAACCAACGACAGCACTTGACATATGTGCATCTCTCTTCCTTGAAAATCCTGTTTGACTTCAGGCAGCCCACATTCTCTTAGATTTCCTATTTAGCTTAGCCAGCCCTCAGTGTCCTTTGCAGGCTCCTCCTCATCCCCTTGCCCTTTAGACTTTGATGTTGACCAGGCCTAGGTTCTCAGGTCTTCACTGTTTTCCAGTCACATCTTTCCGTGATCTTATCTCAACTCAAATACATAAATACCATCTCTATGCTAAGAATTCCCAACTTTCAATCTCTGTGATTGCCTGATCTGATCTTGACAGCTCCACTTGGATGTCAAATGGGTAACTCAAAATTAACATGCCAAAAACTAATCTTCCCTATCTTCCAAACTGTATTCTTCTTTGGACTATTCTCTTTCACCCACCATATCCAATCTGCAAATCAAGTCAACTCTGCATTCAAATACTGCATAAGTATGTAGCCATTCGCACCAGCACTGCTACTGCCAACTTGATAAAGGCCACCGTCTTTCTTACACTCCCATAGCATTCTCCATCCCAAGCATTCCATCAAATACCTCTTTGAGAAGCACAGTTTTGGGGAATCTGCCTGTATAATTAAAATCTTCTAATACATCCCTTTTCTTTCTCCTCCATCCACTGAAGTCTACCTGTAATTTATTAGATACAATGATCTACACAATATGTCACATGCCTTCAAAAATTCTCCAATATCTCATTTAAGCCAAAATGAAAGCCAGTAATCCTACAGAGTCCCCACATCATCTTGAACCTTTTTATTCTCTGATCCAGTGTTTTCACTTTTATCACATATTTATTGACTTTGCTTCTGCAACACTGGTATTTTTATACCTGGAACTTGGCAGTGATGCTCCAGTCTCAGATTCTTTGTCGATGTACTTTCTGCATGGAATGCAATTCTTCAAGTTTTCTATGCTTACTTCCTCACTTCTTTTAGGTTTTAATTTCTACATTGCTGTTTTTGTTTGTTTGTTTGTTTTTTTGTTTTTGTTTTTTTTTTTTTCGAGATGGAGTTTCGTTCTTGTTACCCAGGCTGGAGTGCAATGGCGCGATCTCAGCTTACCGCAATCTCTGCCTCCCAGATTCAAAGGATTCTCCTGCCTCAGCCTTTCTGGTAGCTGGGATTACAGGCATGCGCCACTACACCTGGCTAATTTTGTATTTTTAGTAGAGACGGGGTTTTTCCATGTTGGTCAGGCTGGTCTCAAACTCCCGAAATCAGGTGATCTGGCCGCCTCGGCCTCCCAAAGTGCTAGGATTACCGGCGTGAGTCACTGCATGCAGCTCACATTACTTTCTTCGTGAGATCTACCCTGGTCACTGTATTTGAACTGCAATCCCTTGCCATCTTCATTTTCCCAAGAACTTACCAGTACCTAACATACTATGTAATTTACTTTTCTATTCTTCACTGTCTCCCTCATTAGAATTGAAGTACCCTGAGACCAAGAATATTGGACTCTTTTGCTCCCTGTTCTATGCCCAGCATGTAGAACAGTGTCTGGCACATATGAGGACCCCAAAATACATTTGTTGAATGAATGAGTAAAATAGAAAACCCCTATTAAAAAACTCTAAAAATATTGTTGAGGGACTAAATGTATTTTAATGCTGTCATTTTAACAGAGGTAATTCTAAAGTCTGAGAAGAAAGAAGATCCACCTGCCATGACTGGGACCCCAGAGACAGAACCCTCGGAGGCTTTGCATGTTAATCTTGTTTTCCAGTCTGCCACTTGAACTAGGCATGTTCATTTTTATAAGGTGGATGAATTAATTTCTCCATATCAATGGGGAAAATGAAAATTCCATAAATGTGCCTTGGTGGGTCACTAACTTTCCCCATCGGTGGCATTCCATCAAAAATCTGTTTGAGAAGCACGATATGAAATAAAGTATCTGTCTAGCTAATATGGGTTACACTGGAACAGTAGCAACGTTGGTTGTCAAGTTTTAGACTAAATTAGTTTTAATAGGCTTTACCGTTTCACATGTATTTATGTGAAGAATATTCTTCAATTGCTCTGATTTAAGAATAAAATGAAAATAGGACCACTCTACTATTTGGATGATTACATTTTTGGGTGCTTAAGTGAAATTAGGATTAACTAAATGATAATAGAAGGATATTTTAATTGCATTACTATTTTACAAACATCAAAATATGTAGTACTTATTGATTTACTGGAAACAAATTATACAAATTCAAATATAAGGTTTTTTAGTGTTAATATCGAACTTTCAAACACTCTGAAACATTTGTTCACTCTCATTAGATCCTGGGATTAACATAATAGAGAAAGATATAAGGCTCTTTATGTATTAAACAAAAACTAGGAAATTAGTACTGCATCATTAATAGTAAATTTAGACTAGATTTTTTGCTGTATATGTGGTCATAAAGCTTCTAAACTTAATACCATTATTAGGAAATTGATTATTTCCAATGCTTAAGATTGTACAACCCTTGTTAATTCAAGCAAACATGTAGTCTGTAATTTAAACTTTGCTATTTGTTCAGCTAACGCAAATAAAAACATTATATGATCAAATATCTCTATCACACCATTTGCAACTTAAATGCAAAAGTGAGTTAAAATGACAGAAAATGATATAAATAATTTTAAAACCTTAATATAATTGCTTTGGATATGATTCTTACTTTTGCTTCCAGAAAAAATATGATGTGCCCAAATTTATATTAACTGATTAATCTGCTGAAGAATCATTACTTTGCACTGCTACACACAACAGTCAGCTGTTAGAGGTAAGCTAATAGACTAGAAATGTTTAAACAAAAGCAATTTCGCACCAGAAGAACATGAACCATCATCTCCAAGGTGAGATGGATGTAGAGGCCTTTTCACTCCCACAGAACTTCTTAATGCCTGTATTTGTCCACTTTCACACTGCTATAAAGAAATACCTGACACAGGGTAATTAATAAAGAGGTTTAATCGACTCACAGTTCCTCATGACTTGGGAGGCCTCGGGAGACTTACAATCATGGCAGAAGGGAAAACAGTCACATTTTACAAAGTGGCAGGAGAGAGAAGAGGGGCAAAGTGGGGAAGAGCCCCTTATAAAACCATGAGATTTCATGAGAACTCACTCACTATCACAAGAACAGCATGGGGGGACACGTCCCCCATGATCCAATCACCTCCCTCCCTCAACAGGTGAGGACTATGGGTCCCTACCTCAACACATAGGGATTACAATTTGAGATGACATTTGGGTGGGAACACAGTGCCAAACCATATGATTCCACCCCTGGCCCCTCCCAGTAAAATAATTCCCAATGCAATGAAGAAGGCAGAACAAAGACTTTCAAGAAAAGAAATTTCCTCTGCAACACTCAGAAAAATATAATTTCGTATTTACAAATACCTAATAAGTTTTGAGTTTATTATTAAAAAATTCTCCTTTATTTAAAATTGTTCTTTTATGGAAGTAAAATAAGAGGCAGACTGGTGGAGTAGAAAGTAAACTGAAAATGAGAAGACTGAAGTTGTAGTTCAAGTTCTGTTACTAGCTAGATAGGTTCTCACATTCCACCTCCCATTGGAATTAAATTAAAGTTAAAGTTATTGTTTTGTAATGTATAAAGGTTTTCCAATTTCAAAATCTATTACTATAAAACCTATCTTTGTCCTGTAGAAAAAAAAAACAAAGAAACTTTCTGCTTTGTAACAACAGATGTCACAGATTTTGATAACCTTGATGATCTACTGGTAAGCTAATAACAGAGAAAAAATGGAAATTAAACTACAGCTGTCTCTAGCCCACCTTTGCTTCCTATGGTTACGCCATCATTCAGATTTTGTGAGTAAAATACATTGGTAGAACATCATGAAGTGAGGCCTGTAAGGGCAGATATGAATGAAAAAGAAGACAAATAAATATTTCTCCTTGATTGACAAGGAAAAGAATCTGTCTCTCCTTCCCTTGCCTCAGAACATTTACTTTAGAAAACTTGCAGTTGTGAATCGCATTTTGCTCCTTTGAGTTATAAGAGAGGTATGTAAATAAAAAGCTAAATAAGCCTTTTGCCAGTTTTACAACTGAGAAATGTCTTCATTAAGGACTTGGGAAGCATCTTTTTGCAATATAGGCATCAATGAAGATAGTGGCCTTCTCCCAGTTTCTGAGAGAAGGTGGGAGGCTAACTTCAGCTGGTACCCAACTCTAAGTTGAAAACCTAACTGTTTTATAAAGATAGATAGAAGATATTTATTTTTCTTTTGGATAAAATCAACGAGCAAACACAGATGGTTACCCAAATCACTAGGTGAATTTAGGATGAATTATGTGTCACAAATGGTGCTGTCAAGTACCCTTACTTGAGGACTAGTAATTGTTTATCTTGAGAAATGTATGCCATGGGCTCTATCTGCTTGACTATATAAAACTACGAATTTTCTTTCTGTCTTGGCAGTCCCTGTAGGGAAAGCCTGTGATATATATCACATTCTAATGCAATGATTATTTAATAATAAAAATTGTCTTTTTTTAAATCTTCTACTCTATGGCTACGTTTTATGGATTGGGAGATTTTACTTTTAATTATATTTTCCCAATAGGCCCACTGCACAGAGAGATGATTTAACAAAATCTGTATCTTCATTACTGCCTAAGAGCCAGAGAAAAACTGAGAGTAATTTTTAAAAGAAGAACAAGCATAAGTGGACCAGCAAATGTGGTACAATGCCAAAACTGCTTAAGAAGGTTGGCCAGTGAGAGAAGATTCCAATGGAAGGATAGGCTAAAACAAAATAGAGATCTTATAATTAAATATTAAGATTTTTGGATTTTATCCTATATTTTCACAAAGTAGCTAGAATACAAATATTTCTACACTAATTATATTTTAGAAGTGAAAAACTCAGATGAAATGTGAAAGAATTTAGGGAAGAAAAGGACGTTAAAAATCCTATAATTAAATTAATCCAAGTTGTTAAGTATGATTGTATAGCCAAAGTTACTGTAGTTCCCAAATTCCCCACCAACTCTTCTGGAATTTCAGGATATTTGCTAGGTTAGGCTTGTTGTTTTTAACTCTTAAAGGACAGGGTATCCCTTGATTACATCTGGGTACCACCAACATAGTCTATAGATTATTAGTAACAATTTTTTAATTTGAAAGGTTTATAGATTTTATATAATAAAGGTTGGAAATAATAGCTGAACTCTGGAGGATAAACAAAGCTATAAAATTAGGGTTTTAAACATAGGGCAACATTCTTGGATGTGAAATTTTCTAGACTATCAAATATCCATCACCACAGTAATAACTGACACCATGAAAACTAAAACTTAGCCCTATCAGAGGATTTTTTGAGCTGAGTATTTTCTACTCTGTTAGGAAATGGTACTGACCACAGATAATCTGAGTAAGTTGGATGCTTGGAAACCTGATGGTGGGCCTTAAAAGGAAGACGCTGAAGTGCCTATTAACATAAGCAGGTGGAAGCTGAGTGATTAATAATGCAAATATAAGAAGATCTATTTATACCTTAAGAAGATCACACCAATTACACCCATGAAGATCTCCAGCTTATCATAAATTCTTCCTTGCCTATCAGTATGCCTTAGTTTATTTTCCATTGGTATTTTTCCTCTTCATCCATAGCTCCTTGTGTATTAATGTAGATTACAGCTGATGCCCCAAATCCATTTATTTATTTATATTTTAGAGACAAGATCTCGCTCTGTTGCTCAGGCTGAAGTGCAGTGGCAGGACGATAGCTGACTGCAGCCTCAAATTCCTGGACTCAAGTGATCTCCTGCCTCAGCCTCCAGAGTAACTAGGGCTACAGGTACAAGGCATTACACCTGGCTATTTTTTTTTTTATTTTATTTTGTGGAGACTTGGTCCCATTATGTTGCCCAGGCTGGTTTGAACCCCTGGTCTCAAGTAATCCTCATGCTTCAGCCTTCCAATGGGCTGGGACGATAAGTGTGCATCACCACACCCGGCTAGATGCTCAAAATTTAATATTTAGAGTTTTAGAATTTAAGAACCTGAAGGAACTTTATTAATTGTCTACCCTGGTGCTTCTGAAGTTTCATTGAAGATAAGTCTTCTAGTGTGCTTGTTAAACACAGATCCTCCCAGCTACCTCCCCTGGGGACTCTGATTCTGTAAGTGAGGAATGAAGCCTGATAATGTCTATTGTTAGTAAAGATCCACACTAATTATTCAGGGATATATGCGGGAAAGCTGATAAAGTTCCAAATCTTGTTCGTGCCTTGCTCAGGCATACATAGTAAGTCTCATAGTCTCACAGTGAAGAGTAACACACAGGTTTATGCAGTGGTGCAATCAAGCTCAGTGAAGCCTTGACCTCCCAGGCTCAAGCAATCCTCTTGCCTCAGCCTCCCAAGTAGCTGAGTCTATAAGCATGTTCCACCACTCCCAGCTATTTTTCTTTGTAGAGACAGGGGTCTCCCTATGTTGCCCAGGCTGGTCTTGAACTCATGGGCTTAAGCAATCCTCCCACCTTGGCCTCCCAAAGTGCTGGAATTACAAGCATGAGCCACAGTGCCAAACCACTATTACCAGTTTAAACACGAAAAAGTATTTCATTTTACTATACTGTTGTGTTAGAGAAAAATTGTTTTCAAAGACCAAAATAAAAGAGCAACTCACAAGTCCATAGAGTTTATTTGTAAATTTTTATACTTCAGGTTATTTTAGACCAATTGATTCATAAATATTTCTATTTCTAAACTAATTAATAATATACATTAAAACAACTCTAGATCTGAGTGTTCATCTATAGCCCTTTCAGTCTATTTAATTATCTAAGAAAGAGATAATCCAATAGATGCATATTTGATGCATGTTCTTAAAACTTGTCCAATTAAGGACACTGTTAGTGATTTAATAGGAAATAAATATTACCAGTTCCTTTTAATATGCTTCAGAAAACTCCCCTTCAGAAATATGTGGCTTTTTCTTCTTGTTTGGCAACGTATTTTAATTAAAATATGCACCAGCCCCAATATATCGAAATGTATTTGAATCTTCCTCCCTCTATGAAAATGTCAATGGCCTAAAAGACATTTGTAACTACTCTCTGTGCATTTTTTTTGGGGGACAATGTGAACTAAACAACATTGCTTATTTCTTTAATGGTCTTGAAAGACCCAGCCTTGAGTCAGTTGGAAAGCTGTTGACTAAGAACCAACTGAGATATATTTGCAATATTTCAGGGGTTTACAGCTTAAATATTTTGGACTTTGATGAGCATAATAAGAACACTGTAGGAGTTGCATTGGTGATAGCAGCATAGGTTAGTCCTTTGAGAAGATTTTCTTTTCTTTTTTTGCTGGAAAACCCAGATATACAGCAGTGATATTTTACTTAGTGAAATGCCAAACAGAAAACATTATAATGATAACTCTTCTGGTGTAGAGCACTGCCATTAGAAATGCATTATTTTAAGCAAGCACTTGATACGGTATCAGAGATGTCTTCAAATGGAGAGGTAAATTGGTGCAGTAGAAGTGACTTCAGATATAAATAGGCTTATTTTTGAAGCCAGTTTCTGCTACTTACTACTTGAATAACAAACTACTTAATTTCCTTGACTTTTAGTCCTTCATCTGTAGGATAGGAAAAACGACATCTCTTATAACTTAGAGAATTAGTGTAAAACTCAAATGAGAAGAATATGTATACATTAAGGAATATGGTAAGAATTTGATAGCTAGTACATGAGGTGAAATCAATATTCTGCTTTAATTTTATCATCAGTGTATGAATTTTCTCATGTTCCCTCTCATACATATATATTACATTTATATAAATATATATCTCTCACATATATTTATATTTCAGGGTTTTACAGCTTAAATATTTTGGACTTTACATATATATGTAAATATATATACGTATATATTTACATATATGTACACACATTTACATATATAAACATATTTACATATATGTAAATATATGTAAGTATGTGTAAATTTATATACATATATGTAAATGTGTGTGTGTGTGTGTGTGTGTGTGTGTGTATATATACACGCACACACACACACACACACTGCATATATGAACCCATAGACAGAAATTACGAAAATATTACTTTATTTCCATTTGTTCTTTCTATTATGTTACACCATAGGGGAATGACTAGTAGAATATTTCAAGTGAACAGCATCCAATTCCGATTATAATTGCTTGTTTTCTAAGACAAAATATTAAATTACATCAAGTATATTTTATAGGGCCTGCAACCATAAACATAGTATGTGTAAATGTCAACTTTGCTCTAGGGAAAATAGGCCTTTCCTCATCCCTCCTTGCTTACAGCCAGCTCTAGGTTAAGACACCTGATTCTGCTCCCTGACTGCATTACCATTGCTTTACATGTCACTCCTCCTCCAATAAAACTGAACTTCTAGGCTACTGACATTAATACATGTATCCAGGGCAACTGGATGGTTTCTGCACTCACTGACTTATTTAAGTTTGTGCTCCTGCTGTATTTTTGCCTCAGAGGTTTTCAGATACTATCCTGTAAGTCACAACATTTATAGAAAAGCTATTTTTAAATATTTAGCATTTTTAGAAAGTTTCAATAGCAGGAGGGATATCAAGTGCTTCATATATCCAGAATAAGACAACATACGCATCAATATGTATCTTGGTTTCTAACATAACACTATATCTTTATTATTCAACAAATCTGTGAATATTTCTATATAGTCAAGTACCTTATTTCTTTCACAATATCTATTTGAATAGATGTAATTTGTCTTGTTAATACTTTTTAGTTTATTTATAACTATTTGAAATGTAAAGCAGAATGCAATAAACATCATAAGTGTTATTTTGTCTATCTGTAAGTTTATGTGAGTGAAAATTTCTGGGTCTTTGAGACCTGTGTCGTGCTTTAAAATATTGACGAAAGTTGTCCATTGAAATTCAAGGTGAACACTTTGAATTACACTTCCAATAATGGTAGCTGAGTGAGCCAATTTTCTAGCACCTTTGCCTACATCATTTATTGCATAAAGTTTTAGTCTTTTTCAATTAGATAAGTGCTTTGCTTAGTTTTATTTTAAAGATGAATGATTTTGAGTATATTTCAATACGTTGTTATATCATCTTTTACTTTTCAATTTGCTCCTATGATCCAGTAAGCAATACCTTGTTGGAAATAACTTAGTAAGCAATAATTAGGAAGAAATAGTTTTTTTTTAATTTAAGAATTACATGTTAAATTCACTGTCTCATGGATTATTGTTAGACATAGTGTGGACTGATTTAAAAATGGCACTTGGCAGTATGATCATGATGAAACTTCTCTTTTTTTTTCTATGTCTGTGGTTTTTTTCTTTTTTGTAAACATTTTACTTTAGGTTTGAGGGTACATGTGAAGGTTTGATACATCGTAAACTCATGGTAATCAGGTTTGCTGTACAGATTATTTCAACAACAAGCTATTAATCGCAGTACTCAGTAGGTACTTTTTTTTTGCTCCTCTTCCTCCTCCCACCCTCCACCCTCAAGGAGGACCTGTGTCTGTTGTTCCTTCTTCGTGTTAATAAGTTCTTATTATTTAGCTTTCACTTACAAGGGGGATACCTATATGGCATAAAAAAGGGTGAAAATCCAAAATAAAATCTAAGACACATTTATCAATTTAATAGCATCAGAGAATAATTTCCTCAAACTGTAGGACAAATCAAATGGATTTAAAAAAATAGTTACTGTTTTTTTCTAGGTCTATCTACGTTTTCTACATGACCTGTTTCTTTTCACAAACACCTGGACCACTGCAGCAATTTTAAGGAAGCTGTGAATCTAGGTATCAGGAAAATTTGTTTGGTACTATTCCTAAAAAGCATCCCATAAAGTTGATTTGCTCTAACTGTTTTTCATATGAAGTGAGTTTTTCTTGTTCACCGTTGACATGCGTCTTTCATCATTAGCTGCTATGGAGACTGGGAACACCTTTTGAAACTATTAAATCTGTGCCATCCAGAAGTACTGACACTGAGTAAATTTTGTTCACTGTTAACATTTTATAAATTGAGGGAACTTTTTGTTGATTATTGATAACTATTTTATATAGAAACAACAAGCTGACACCAAGAGTATATGGAAACACTGCTGCCTTGAAATACTTGGAGGATTTGTTAATTGCTATTAAAATTTAAGGAACAAGAAAATAGATACAAGGGTGGAGCCAGGAACCAGGAAGTCAAGAGGTTGTAGTGCACAGTGATTCTCCCCCTATGACTCGTAAATTTTCAATAAGTCTTCGTAATGCGTGACGGAAACAGATTTCTTGTACAAAACAATGTATGATAACACAATTAAGAGATTAAGTCCTGCCTTCAGATCATCACAGAAATAAATGTGACATGAGGGGATGATGGCGCTTGGAAGACAAACAAAAAAATGCCAAAACTAAGGAAGTAAGTCACAAGAACTTATCATAAGAACATCTTTGACTCTAAGGGACTTAAAACTAAACTTGGGCAAGATCTTTAAGGGCCCAAGTTAATGTAGGAGCTACATGATCTCTTTCATTTTAGTGCAGCAAACTTTGTAACATCTAATAAACTACACTTGAGCATTCTATTCTTTCTATATTTTGAGACATAATAATTTAAGTCCATATGAAGAAACTTTGTGAACCTAGAATAATTTCCATTTGATCGTAAGGTAGAGTCATTTTAACAAAGTGCTAAAATAGGCCTTTAACTTTGTATTATTAAATCTATGTTTGCAAGAATGTGCTTTAGTTTTCTTATATGCCAGATAAATTAAGAAGCTTTATATTTTTTATAGAGTTTAGAAATTATTACAAAATATAGAAATTAACTGCTCGTTGAAAATCTTGGTAAATTTTTGAAAAGCTTTTAAAATGTTTTTTGGCATACGCATTTTTAGGGGATATTGCTTGATAATATTTTCAATTTTGACCATAATTAATAGTATATTCATGCTTTTAGCTCTTCATGATATAATTTTTGATAGCTTTTTTTGAAAAGTCATGATTTCCATTTATATTTTGATTTAATTGAACACATTTTATGTAGTATTATCATATTTTTAAATCTCTTTTTGATGACAATTTTATCCCCTATTTTTCATAAGTGTTTGTTTCTTCTCATATTTTTCTCTTTAAATAAACATTTCTATGATTTATTTGTTGATTTAACTTTATTGCATAAGTTTATTGAACGTGTATTTTGATTTTTTTATATTATATATTAAAACTCTGAGAAAATAGTTTTTTAAGCAATAAGGTTATTGTTAATGAAAGTGCATAGTCTACAGATAGCAATATATTTGCTCATAGATTTTTTCTTCTCTCTCTAAAAATATATTTCATCCCAGTAAGGTTTAAATTTTTTAATAAAATACTTCGTAAGGGAAGATTTTTAATAAAATAATTACCTATTAATATAAAGCTTGCTATTGTTGGATTTCAAAAGCTAACACCTGAAAATATGCTAATCAACAAAGAAAATGACATATTCTAATATTTATATGTCCCTGCAGATCTTACATTGTATGCTAGTGTGTATGTATGTGTGTATACATACACTACACGTATAAAATAAATATTACACATGGAATAAATATCGGCCTATTTTCATATATGGACCAATCTTTATTCCATGTGTAATATTGACAAACATTTTATTTCAACATGCCACTTATTATAATGTGATATGGTAGCAGATTGCAGAATTTGGGAAAATCAGTTAATATACATTAAAATTTATTGTGAAATAAAATAGAACTTTGTCTAGAATTCCTTACTGGGTTTGAATGGAGACCTACCTACATCCACAAGTCTTTTCTTTCATTGACTTACTTTTGGCAGCTTTCCATCAATCAGGTTACATATAAGAAAATAGAACGTTATTAAGTACAGTTTAGTTGCAGTGTGGTAAAAGACATGCTATCCTAATCCCTTATCACCCATCAAGATTAGATAGGCAGACAGACAGACAGTCAGAGAAACAGATAATATAGAGAGATATACACTTTGGGAGGCCAAGGCAGGAGGATCACTTGACGCCAGGAGTTCGAGACCAGCCTGGCCAACATGGCGAAACCCCATCTCTACCAAAAAAAAAAAAAAAAATACAAAAATTAGCCAGGTGTGGTAGCACATGCCTGCGGTCCCAGATACTTGGGAGGCTGAGGCAGGAGAATCGCTTGAACCCAGGAGGCATAGTTTGCAGTGAGCCAAGATCGCACCACTGCACTCCAGCCTGAGCAAGACAGTCAGACTCTGTCTAAAAAAAAAAAAAAAAAAGACAGAGATATATAGTGCCTGCATTTTCTTCATGATTTTAGTTCTTATAAGTTACTAGATCAATTAAGCACAAAAATGAAATTTAAATGAATAAACAGTGCAGGTAGGAATAGAATGCTGATTTGATTCTTGCTGCTCTGGAAGCTGTTTTCTTAAACCTTACCTACAAGTAACTACAGTTATGTGCAGTATCAAAATGGATCTCCTTCCTGGATCTATTTTCAGCAGAGCAGAAGTGATAAAATACATGCCATACCAGCAACTAAAATAAAACTTTGTAATGAAGAAATATGGAAAAGTTTCCTTGGCATGAAAAAATGAAAAATGTATTACTGACATATTTCTAATTAACTCTCTACTTTTAATAAGATAAACTATAATATAATGTCTTATGAACATCAAGAGAAAAGATACATTGCAACGTTCATGTTAAAAAACACTTTATATATTTAAACATATTAGTTTTCTGAAAAATCTTCTACGGTATTAGAAAATGTTAGTGATGGGTAGTGTGCTAAGAATCAATGAAGAATGGAAGAATATTTCCTGGCCTCTCTACCTTTCTTCGTGTATATTTATGTCTTGAAAACTCAGTCTCGGCTGTTCATTTATCTGCAATAATCTTTCTCATACTCCATTATTTATTTTTCAAGTTTTGCATAGAATATATTGGTTTTTGTTGAAAGTAATCATGAGAAAAATGTTATTTCATTGTTACACTTTCTAACATTTTAAAATAAAGCGTGGCATACCACTGATCGTGTTTTGTGCTTCTACTTGTGTGTCTTACACACTTCAACCTTAACCTCTGGTAGAGTGGTTATGTCGTATCTCAATTTACCAACATAAACCATGGTTTAAATTATTAAATTTATTCAATAAGTGCTGATTGTAAAAATATTAAGTTAATTCATCTTTTAAAACTTTTTTTTAAAAATGATATATTTAACCATGAGAAATATATTTTCATAACAAATAAAGGAGTAACAATCATTCCACAATGACAAGCTATAGTCAGCTTGATTTATAATACATCCTGCCAAGTCCTCTAAGGTATACAATACATTAGCAAGTTGCAATTTGGTTCACACTATGTAAGAATGCATTGGAACTACTAAAACAAAATATTATTTTTTCTCAATGAGTACAGAACACTGGGGAAAGGATATGCTGAAGTGCTATCTGGCAGCCATAGGGTTTCTAATCATGGCCTCAACACAGGAATTTTTTGTTCCTGGAAGCAGCTATTACAATTCACAATGGTTGTAGCTCATACCAGCCCAGTAAAACTTGGGCATGTTATAATCTGTGGCAACTGAAACAGTTAATAACATTAAAATTTAATTTGGACAGAGTGTAAGAAACCAATGCTTTAGCATATCTCTTGGCATACTGCTGGCTTTAGGACCCCAAATATATTTTAAAATGTAACAATTCTGCAAGGGAAATAATATAAAACACATCAATTTCCTCCCTAGATTTAATTGTACTGAAAAAATAATTGCCATATAATAATCACTTAACAACATGAATGAAGCAGGGATAAGGGCACAATATATTTCTGTGTGAAAATAAAAGAGAGAAGTGATTAAAAAATAGAACTCAGAGTATGCATAATACACTTTAGAATGGATTATTTTCCATCATTGCAGAAGCAAAATCTGACATTCAAAAGGAATCTTATGCTAATTGTCACCTTCTTTGAACATTATCATTTATTATATTTAAAATGAGAGAGCATTCTTTCTCACGCTCTCTAATAACAGTGCACATTTTTAGGATGTACTTAAAAAAATCAACGTTATATAACAAGCATGTTTGCATTTGCTATAAACTTAATCACTAATCTTAGCAATAGTAAAACATAGAATCAAGAAGATAGCAGTATATAATTGCTTTAATTACAATTTTTGTTTTGAAATTATTTTAGATTCCCATGCAGTCATAAGATAAGAGAGAATTCCCGTGTACATCGTACTCAGCTTCCCCCAATTGTAACATCTTGTAAATCTATAACAGAAAACACAGCCAGGATACTGACATTGAATAGTAAAGAGGTAGAATATTTCCATCACCAGAAGGATCCCTCACATTGCCCTTTGCAGCCACATCTGCTTCCTGCCTGATTGCACCCACTCCATGATCCCTGACAACCACTAATCTCTTTTCTATTTATATATTTTTGTCATTTCAGAAATGTTAATAATTCAAATCATTAAAATATAACTTCGGGGAATTGGATTTTTTTCACTTAGCATAATTTTCCAGAGATTCCTCCAGGTCCTTGTGTGTATTGATAGTAATCTGTACAACAAACTCCCATGACACAAACCTATGTTTACCTATGTAACAAACCTGCACTTGTACCCCTGAACTTAAAATAAAAGTTAAAAAAATAGTTCATTCCCTTTTACTGCTGATTCATATTCCACAGTGCCAATGTACCCAGTTGTTTAACCATCAATCTATTGATAAACATTTGAGCTGTTTCCAAAATTTAACAATTACCAACAAAGCTGCTGTCAACATTCATGTACAGGTTTTTGTCTTCATTTACCAAGGATAAATGCCCAGATGTAGAATAACTGAGTCATGTGATAGTTAGATGGTTAATTTCATTGAAAAAATATTCCAAACGGCTATATCAATTTAGAACGGCTGTTCCATTTTACATTGCCACCAATACTCCATGAATGGTCCAACACTATGTTGAATAAGAGTGATGAGAGTAGTTATCATTACTTTGTCCCTGATCTTAGGAGGAAATCATTAAATTTTTCACCATCAAGCATAATGCTAGCTGTAAGTTTGCTGTAGATGCTGTACGTCAATTTAAGGAAGTTTCTCTCTATTACTCCTTTTCTGAGAGGCTTAATCATGGATGTGTGCAGAAATTTTAAAATGTTTTTTTCTAAATATGTTCTTTCACAAATATGATCAAGCGATATTTCATCTTTACTCAGTTAACCTGGTAGGTTACATGATTAATTTTCAAATATTGAACCAGTTTTGAGTCCCTGGTAGAAACCTTAGTTGCTCATGGTGCATAATGCTTTTTAAATTTTGCTGAATTCTCTTTGCTAACATTTAGCTCTAAATTTTGTGGTCTATATTCTATAAGGGATATTGGTTTGTAGTTTTAGTTTTTGGCGCTGTCTTTGTCTGGTTTTGTTATCAGGTTAATAATAGTGTGTTCCCTCTTCTATTTTCTGGAAGTGATTATGTGGAATTCCTGTTAATTCTTTTTTGAATATTTAGTGAAATCTTCAGTGAAATCACTTTGGACAAGATATTTTATTGGTGATATTTGCAAATTAAATATTCAATTTCCTTACGGCTCTTCAAATATGCTGTTTCAATTTGGGTGAGGTATGATAGTTTGAGTTTTTAAAATAATTCGTCTATTTCAACTAAGTTGTGTGGAAAGTTGCTTCTATTATTTCCTTTTTTATCCTTTTGATGTCTGCAGAGCCCAGGGTGATATCATTTCATTCCTTATATTGGAAACTTGTGTCTTCGCTCTCTCATTTTTTTGGACAGTCTTCTTAGAAATTTTCAATTTTGTCATTTTTTTTAAAAAATACAACTGTCTTTTCATTTGTTTTTTCTTATTTTTTTCCATTTTCAATTTCATTCATTTTAACCATGTTAAAATTGATTAAATTCCTTCATTCTGCTTCTGTAGGCTTATTTTCCTCTTCATTTCTAGAATCCTGAGATAGGAGCTGAAATTATTCATATGGGATCTTTTTTCTAACCTAGTCACTTAGTATTATAAATTTTCTTCTCAATATTATTTTAATGAGTTTCAGAAAATATTTTATGTTGTCTTTTAGTTTTTATTATTCTATTTTGATTTATCTATATTAATTTTTAGTGCATCTCTTTGTATAATATTTTGGAGGTTACTCTGAAAACTATATACAGAACTTACCACATTCTACTACTGTCAGTATTTTATCAGTTTGAATGAAGTGTGGAAAACTTACCTCCCTGTATATCCCCTTACCTTTCCTTATTTATAATGAAATTGTCTTAAATATCTCTCCCGCTTACATTTAGAACCACTTTAGAGAGTGTTGTAATTCTTGCTTCATCCATAAAATATAATTTAGAAAACTCTAGAAAAGATGGGAAAATCTATTAAACTTACCAATATTATTACTTACAGTGTTCATTCTTACTCTTGATATTTTCATTTCCCTTTTATTATTTTATTTCTACTTAGAGAACTACCTTTAGCCACTCCTTTAGGATAGATTTATTAGAGAATATTTCTTCATTTTGTCCTCCATCTGATAATGTCTTAAATTTCTCTACATTCTTGAGTGATGTTTTAAGTCAAAACAGGATTCTAGTTTAAGTTTTTCTTCTTTATTCCTCAGAAATGTAAAAATACTATACCACTTTCTCCTGGTCGTGACGGTTTCTGGTGAGAAATCTGTCATTCATATTCTTCTTTTCTTCTACAGATAAGGTGTTATTTCCCTCTTATTGCTTTTATAAATTATTTTTGTTTGGTTTTTACTTTCTAGAAGCTTGCCTGTTTGTGTCTAGCTTTAGATTTCTTTGAATTTTCCACATTTTAGATTTGTTCAACTTGTTGAATATGTAAGTATATGTTTTTTGTTTGTTTTTGTTTTACCAAATTTAAAAAGTTTTCAGCCACTCTTTCTTCCAGTAAGTTTCAGCACCATCCACTTTCTTCTTTCCTTTAAAAACTAGTGATGATACGAATGATAGATCTATTGTTTGAATTGCATGGGTCCCTAAACTTCTGTTATTTTTTCCCTACTCTGTTTTCTTTCTATTGCTCAGATTAGGTAATTTCTGTCTTTGAGTTTACTGATTAATTCTAATTTCCCTTTCATTCTTCTATCTTTGAGTTTACTGATACTTTCTTATGTACTCATCATTCTGCTGTTGAAAACATTCATTGAGTTTACTTCTTTTATTACATTTTTGTCAGGTAAAACTACACATGTAAAGGCAAAGTTGGTATCTAGTGATTATTTTACATTCAGTTTGACATCTTCTTGAATATTCATAACATGAGTGATTTTGTACTAAAACCTGATCATCTGGGCTAGTATGTTATTGGCTACAAGGCTCTGTTTCAATTTTCTGTTTTAGTTTTTTTTTTTTCCTCTGGCACCACAAGAGCAAGAGAACGGGTATGTGCTGCCTTACTGATTCCTGGCAGGAGTGGAAGTCCAGGATCCTGTCCATTGAAACCCGAGGCAAAGTTCTCACTGCTCCTGGATTCGGGTGGGGGAATCTACGTCCACACTAGGCTAGGTCTCCAGTGACAGCTTCCTAGTGGAGAAGGTTTGAAGTTCTTGGCTGCTGCTCTTTATATGACCCTCAGTGATACTGTAGTAGGGGTCTCCTTCCCAAAAGGCAAGAAAGAAAGTCCCAGTCAGCCTCCTACTCAGTCCTCTACAAAGGTACGAAGAGCTCAATTACATGGGAAATTATAAACATACATTTTAAAAAACATTATTTATAACAATGATACCTTTGAATTACAATATTTTCAAACCTAAAGCACACATATACTCCTTCTTGGATCATATTTACTTCTAACCAATTGATAGGAAATTATTTACCTTTGAACAAACCTTCTCTGCACGGTTTTTAATCGTACTTAGTGGCAGGAATAAGGAAAAGTGCTTCTTCTCCATCTTCCTGGAAGCGGAAGTCTGTATAATGGATTTCAATAATCATTGCATATATCTCCTTTTTGTTTTTTTTAAAGCAAATAACTGTAGCATGTCTGAAAGTAATATAATTCTGACATGTTTGGTCCAGGTCTTTTTCTGCTCCAAATTCTGGGTCCACTGTCAAGCTTCCTTCTCAGAGAGTTCAAAACATTAATTACTATTTCAAGTGTCTCTTTGCCTCACCACTATTCTGACTAGAGGTTTTGTCCTTTATTCACAGATAGAAAGATTGATAGGTAGAGAGATAGATGATGATGATGATAGATAGATAGACACATAGATAGATAGACACATAGACAGATGATAGATAGATAGATACATTGATAGATAGACACATAGATAGATAGATAGATAGATAGATAGATAGATAGATAGATAGATAGATAGACAGACAGACAGACAGATGTTTCCACTATCAAGTGACAAAAATAGGTTCATCTTTAGCCAGGTGAAACCTGGAAATTCAATTGCCTACTTTCCTTTGCTCCCTGCTCTTTGAGATAGATATTCCTGTCATCCTGTGTTCCTGGACTAAAAATAATGTTTTGTTCTGTCTTCTAAGGAGATGATTCCAAGAATTTGGAAGCAATTGAATATTTCTTTTAAAAAAGATTATTATGTATGTTATACTTTGTTTTCATCTTTCGGTGACACTTTTAATATATCATTATTAATTGAAAAATATTAAAGCAATATCATTTTCATGTAAAGACAATTGCCATGATCATGAGAAAGATTATATATTTCTCATTTGAGATCCCACTCTCTGCAATTTCAATTTAGTTGCACATACCTCCACTCATATATACTTCTTGACCTAGTCACATCAAATAAAAGAAAACATTAACACACTAAAAAGAAAATTTAAACCAAATTAGTGGGCCTTTGCAAAGAAGAAGTATTGTCTTCAAGCTTATTTCAAACGTTAAGCAGATCAATCACTGTTAAATTACAATAAACTTTAAGAGAGGTAGCAGGTTGTAGGAGCTAGCCAGACAGGCACAGGATGTAAATGAACACAGTGCACTGCAGAAACTAGACATGCAGTCCTGGGGCATCATTATTCACAGAACAAAAATACGATGCAGAGTATTTTACTTATTTCTCAGTATAAGTATAGTGAACATACAAGTGCCAAAGTTAGAGATAGTCTAAGCAAACCTTCAGTTAAGAAAAAAAAAAGCAGTAGTAGTATTAGGTTTCTGTAATAATTGTTTTCTGTAAGATATTTTACCTATCCATATTCGAAAAAGTATTTTGATATCTTACAGAAACTTTGCTGAAAGTGCACAATAGAGTAGTTCTTCTTATAAAAACAAATTTAAGCTAATTAATGGTTTTTATCACCTATACAATTTAGCAACCATAATTTCTCATGCCTGAAGCCAATATTACATAAGTGTAATATTTGACAGCAATGTTATGAGAAATCATAAAATGTTTACATAACTTTGATATGTTGACATGTTATGCCTCTTGTCTATTTCTAGGTCTGTCAGTATATGGCAAAATTTCACTATCGATGTGGCAATAGTCAGAGTTCTTTTCTATTTGATGACAGCCGTCCCAAAGATTAGAATATTAGCTTAACAAAAATGATTAGGCTACTGTTGTACGAACAGCTCAATTACATGGGAAATTATAAACATACCTTTTAAAAAACATTATTTATAACAATGTTAAGTTTGAATTACAATGTTTTCAAAGTTAAAGCACACATTGTATACTCCTTCTTTGATTATATTTATTTCTACACAATTGATAGGAAATTATTTACCTTTGAACAAAAAATACATATCTATTTTTCATGTTAGTGCATTTCTTGATTTCTTATAATCTTTTTGTTACTCAGGGCATATTTCAGTAAAGCTGTTGACTGTTTCTAGTAGTTTCATTGTTCTGAGAGTGTGAAATGCATATCACATCAACTCCTAGTGTGCGTACTTCATTCTTCTGCAGAGGTTTATGTCTTCTCTACTTATCCTGAAACAGGAGAATTTATCTATGACAGATTCGTACCACATACACAAAACTGAGCTTCTAGCAAATTCCACTATGTGATCAAATTTAGTTTAAAAGACGGTCGGTGGCTGCAGGGACTTTTGCAAAGAAGATTGTTAACTAGTTATCTACTGGGCACGACAACAGACAACTGCCGACTTGTACCAATTAATATTTTTAAATATTTAATATTGAGTCGCTTTCTCAATATTCTGAGACATCTCGTCAATGCCTTCTTAATATAAAAAGATCCCAGCCCTCACTAGCATGTGTATGAATTTCACATGTGACATGAAGTTAAGAAAATTCGTGGCATACTCTTCCAAGGTTACCAGCTCTTCTTTTCACACACTATGCAAATCAGACTAGAAAAGAAAGTATTAATATGTTTAATATGAAACAAGCTTCAGTAAATATGAAATTATCAGTAGATATGATGAGGTATGTATTTTCCATGCTGTGTAATTCCTGTTGGGAGCATTTTGTTTTTCAGTTTGTTTGTTTGTTTGATAGGTGGGGTCTTGTTCTGTCATCCAGGCTAGAGCGCAGTGGCGCGATTATGGCTCACTGCAACCTCAAACTCCTGGGCTCAAGCAGTCCTTCCGCCTCAGCCTCATAAGTAGCTGGGACTACAGATGTTGCCACCACACCCTTGTTAATTTTTAAACTATTTTTTGTAGTGACAAGTTCTCACTATTTTGCCCAGGGTGAGTAAGCATTTAAAATATTCACCTTTTTTTAAAAAAACATCAATAGCCCTTAAAAATGCCACGCCATGATGTCATTGTCATTATGCTGCTGGCAGTGGTAGCCACAAGGTACACATGACTATTTAAGCTTAAATTTTAATTAAAATGAAATTAAACCAAAAAATTCAGTTCCTCCATCATGCTAGTAACATGTAAGTACTCAATAAGCACATGTGTTAATTACCACTGCGTCTAACAGCCCCAGATTAGAGTATATTTCTTCATCTCAGCCAGTCCTATTGAGTAACCCATGTCCATAACAATTCTTAGGCTCTCATATTGCTGAGGTGATCATTGTTGAGTTTCTTTATGAGTATTCTATAAATTAGTAAAATAGTCCAAAAAAAGTGGGAGGTGGGGGAGTAATACCATGCAAAAACATACTGTGAGCAGGAACACTTGTGAGTTTATCTATCATATGAGTGAACTTACATGTTTCAAAATTAGCTAATAGTACAGATGGGAGGTGATGCCTCAGTCATCTCATATGTTGATCTAATTTCTTAGTCTCAGCAAACTAGATTCAAATGTAGACCTTACTTGTACACATAATACTTCTGTTTAGAGTCCTCTATGTTGTATGTTTTCATACAGAACAGAAACATAAAAAAATAGATTGATACCAAATTATTTACTACATACCGAAGAATCCATTGTAAATGCAGAATCTTCTCAAGTTTGGGAAAGAAGGCAGTATCAATTTTTGACAATGACAAAGTTACACATGAATTATACCATCTGGGATATGAGAAAGCATGCGACGGATTAAAAAGACAGGACAGGACTTCAGTAACTGTGTCATGTCAAGATTATACTAAACAATATGTATGCGTGTTCACATCACTCCAGATTACTCCTCTCTTAGTTCAGAATCTCAAAAACATTAAAGGAAGCAGCATGGTATAGAGTTATATGTACCAAATAAATGCCATAAAAAGTCCAACTTTGTTACACCTAGCTTTGTGACATTGAGTAAGTCTCGTTGGCCATTCTGGGCCTTAGTTTTCTTTTATTTAAAATAGACTTTCTCTGTGGTTGTCAGTTTGATCCTCCAAATCCCCTGTTCCAACATAACCAAACTACAGAATCAACTTCCATTAATCACTTATATGAGAAAACTGATACTTGCAGCGGGAAGAAGCTGAGGTTGTCCTCCCTCTCTGCCCTGGCCCAATTTCTATTTCTGGGCTGCCTCCTTCCTCCCAGTTAATAACCACTTAATTCCTTGCACTACTGTCTTAGGTAATAACACAACATCACGGACCAGCCAAAAAAAAAACAAAACAAAAACAAAAAAAGAGAAAGTGCCAAAATCTTCAAATTTATAAAAGAAGCATTTTTTTCATATTTAGAAGGGATCTCAGACATCATCCACTGCAATATCCTAATTTTACAGATGAATCAGCTGAGACCTAGAAAATGACAACCAACTAAACCAAAAATGGCTTATGATCCTATTCAATTCTTTCTCATCAACATATTTCTCTCCTTCATACTGATCTACATCGCTCATCAACCACTTTTATGACCAATCATTATTTTTATAAAGAAATATTAAGTCCAGCACATGTGTAGTTCAGCATGTATGTCCACTTCATATTCAACACATATAAAGTCATAAGTACTTGCATGATTTGGATTGAATTATTTGAGCTTTAGTTTTTTCCCCTTATGATCCTACAGCCATATGCTGAAGGGCAAGTAAGACACACCTGGGGAAAGCCCATACCTAACTCATTCCAGCACACCTGCTTGACTCCTTCTACTTATATGCCCTGTATTCCTGCTGACTACAATTTTACCAATCCTCTGACCTCATAAAGACTGCCAGGGGCTGGCATGCGTGATCAGCATGAAAGCAAATGTGCCACATTGTTTAGCATCTGTTCCTAACTCCCCATGAAGCTTTCTTTGCAACAAGCACAGGGCTGTCAACTTCAATCAGCTTGGTAGTGAACTCCAGTAAGATACATTAGCCCTCATCTAGGATTGTACTTTCCATGATCACACCTACATAGGAAAGCATTTGGGTATGCAATGGAGAGGTTTTATGTTAATGTACCCATATTACAAAAAGAGAAATTCCCTAGTTTTGCCCTAATATTTCTATCAGTGTTTCATGAGATCTGAAGGTTAAGTATGTCTCTCAGGACAAATAGCACAATTTTAGCAACTACTGTATGTCTATCTTCCTCCTTAAAATGCTTCTCTGGAGTCCTTGATAAACTCTTTTGACTTAACTCCTTAAGCAGCCCCTTATTCTCATCTTTATTGTAAAGATAATAAAATTTAAATATATTAGTGTGCATTTGTTGAAACACATTTCTAAAATATGCAATGCACTTTGAAATTGGATCCATTTGAGTTTATCAGGCATTGCAATTAAAGAAAAATTACTTTATACATTAAGAATGCACAAGTGCTGCATAATACACAATGACTGACTTTAGGCTTTTAACACATAAACAAATTCAAATATTTAAACATCCTTAATCTGCCAAATCCTTAATCTGAAAGACGCTAAATAAATATTTCCACATTTTCCAGTATACAAAACCATGCATTTGCGTATTATGGTATTACAGATAATCATCTGAACTCTCAGTAAAATTACATATCTATTCTTAAGAGGCCTAAGCTAAAAATTATAGGGAAATTTTTTTTAAAAAAAATATACTACCCTAAAATAGAGTAATGCCTTTTGGTCCTCTAGTCAGTCTCAAAATATAAGTGATCTTATATGAAAATTTTTTAACTTATGACTTTCTCACAGATCATACATCAAACAAACAATAACACTATTATTTATAATTTAAACTTTATTTTTCTGTCATGAAGACTCTTATCTGTCTGATCATGTTTTTATTTGATAATACTTTCATTAGATTGATCAAGTATTTTCTGAGTATTTCTGCCTTCATATTCACATTTTAGAGCATTCTTGAATGTCTGGCCATCATTTAAATGTATCACATACAGGAGTGCTCTTGTAACTTCTTTGAAAGTACAATGAGATTGGCACACAGCAGTAACACTGTATGGTTCACTACTGAATATTTTAAAAGTAAAATGAATCATCAAAAACCAGTTAAATGACTTCAGAACTATATAAGTTAAAATATTTTTATCAAGAATGATTATATGCCTGGCACAGTAGTGCTTGCTTATAGCCCCATCTATTCTGGAGGCTGAGGCTGGACCATCCCTTTAGCCCAGAAGCTCAAGTCCGACATGAGCCAAATAGTGACACCACATCTCTTTTAAAAAAGAATGATTTTTAATAGTTCTTGTAGTGATAAATTATCAGGACAATTCACTTATATGGAAAAATCCATTGCTTGATCATAATAGGTAAGTGAGGCTCTACTACAGGTACACAAATGATAGCGATAGGAGGCAGACAAGTTCCCAGGTGGACAGGGAGGGGTTCCTGGTGAAACTTGACCTTCAAGTCAAGGACAGTGTGAAGTCTGAACACCAAACTACGAGCTCCAGATGGAGTCCATGGACCAGACTGAGAACTTCCATTCTTGTTTGGTATACTCAGCCCCTGATTAGTACCGGGATCTTCACTTCAGCCCTGCATTGGTTCTTTACACTATCATACCTCTTTCTAAATGTTGCTTTTTCCAAGCCTATTCATAAACCTATCAGCATACGTTTCCCCATTCTAAGCCCATAAAAACCCCAGATTCAGCCTCTTAACTGGCAATCCACTTTCGGGTCCCCTCTCGGTGCTGAGAGCATTCTTCCTGTTGCTCAATAAAATTCTACTCTGCCTTACTCATTCTCCAGTGTCTGCATACCTCATTCCTCTTGGTCACAAGACTAGAAATTGAAACTCACTGAACTGCGGGAATGAAAAACCTGTAACATTCCCTCCCGCTTGCTGAGCTACCAGAGTGAAGAAACCACTGGGCACCACTCCCTCCTGCTCACCAAACTGCAAGGGTGGAAAAGCCACAAAGGAAAGACGCGAGATTTCCCAGTAGGTGGCAGTCCAGAAGTTTCCAAAAATGTAAGAATTCTAAAATAACCCTGAGAATTTATGAGTTATGAGAGGATACACAGGATAGCCATGAAGATAATGAAGAGTAACTTGATATATGTCACTTAATAGATTCTTCTCTCTTTTTTTCTACCCCTCAAACCTAAATGCTGTCTCCTTCCCTACTAGTTTATTTTCTTTCCTATTCAAATCCTAACCATATCCCAAACTTCTAAGACCATCCACTAGGAATGTCTAGTAGATTGTAATTTGAATAATGTAATTAATGTTATCATATGTAAGGAAGCAAGAGATTAAATAAGTTTGATAGCTATTTGGGTCCTTAAGTAAGAATTTACTAGGACCCATGAAACAAGCCTTAATTTAATAGGATATCACAATTAAAATTCTACATATAAAACATAAATTAAAACAGCTAATTTTGTCAAACAAATGTAAAAGTAGTTGATTTAATGGTTTCAAAATAGAAAATCATTTTTCTTTAGCAATCAGTACATTTTAAATCTTTCCATGTAGTTGTTTTAGTTAAAGAACTATTGAAAATACTGTGGAAATACCAGAATGGCATTTTATGAAGACCTAGAGATTGAGGTATGCTTGTGTGATCAAAGTAAGGCACTAAAAATCACAGATGTATCCAGATGATAGAGAAGAAATTAATTTGAGCCCCAGAATCTGAAAAAAAAATTTCAATTGCAAGAATATATTTACTTTTCAGCAGCAGAAGCTGGTTAGAGTAAACCTTCCAGTAAAGCTGAATGGAGTCTTGGTAAAGCTAACTAGTGGTCTTTAGCAGGTAGAAAGTGGATAATGGTCTTTGGAGCCACCAATAACAGAATTCCTCCCTGTGTCCTCAATGATTACTACATAGATTTGATAAATGAAAGAGACAGACACTGAAATGACTTGGAATTTTAAAACTGGTGTTTCAGAAGAAGAATAAGCGAATAAGCAGCAAGATAAAGAGAGCTAACTGTTCTTATGCTTTGTGGGAGCAAGTGGAATAGCATTCCCTTCCTAGAAAATGATAATAATGCAAAAATGTAAGAGGAAACTATCACCATCTGAACTTTGAAGCTGGCTCATTGAGAGTTTAGGGAAAATGTGTCTAGTATGCCTTACAGTGAAAACTTGCTTTGTGTGTGGGGGGAGGGCGGGGGGGAGGAGGGTGTTACCATAATACAATAAGTGAAAAAGAAGACTAAGCTATTTCACTTAAATTGACTACAAAAACGTAAAGAAAGTCCCGACTCACTACTAATAATTTGAATGATAGAACTCTCTTTCATTCTTTTGCTCTGAGCTTACTTGGAATGTCAGATAATGTCATTGTGCAAACAACTCAGTCTACAACTTTCAATCTTTTCTAGTTCTTACAGCAAGCAGACCAAATACATTTTTCCCTCTACAATCAAATTGCATTATTTCTTTGTTATTATTATTATACTTTAAGTTCTAGTGTACATGTGCACAAGGTGCAGGTTTGTTACATATATATACATGTGCCATGTTGGTATGCTGCACCCATTAACTCGTCATTTCCATTAGGTATATCTCCTAATGCTATCCTTCCCCACTCCCCCCACCCCACAACAGGCCCCGGTGTGTTGTCTTCCCCACCCTGTATCCAAGTGTTCTCATTGTTCAATTCCCACCTATGAGTGAGAACAAAATTGCATTACTTTCTTTCCAAAATGGTATTTGTGTACATCCAATGTACCTTTGTAAAATTTAAGAATTTTTTACATTTTTGTATTAGCAACACTAAAAAAATTGGACCTTTTCTTATCAAATTAAAATATTTAAAGGCTCAGTGGAAATCTTTTATTTTAATTTTTGAAGAGTTTATTGAATTATATTCATTATTGATTGAGATTTTTAAAAACATTCTATGCTAATGAGGAATGTGGAAGAAAAACATTACTAGATTTACATTATCCTATGATAGCAAATAGAACATTTAGATATATTCTAAATGTGGTTTTTGTTTCAAAGAAACTCATGATGACATACTTTTGAAGATCTAAGTGCAAAATTTGAAAGAGTGGAGAGGATTCCAATCTAGGATCAGCCAGGCTCTTTTCTGGTATTCAAGTGTACTCTTTTATCCATCAACAGAAGGTTTTTCTACTTTTACATTATAATTTCTGTAATTCATGGCAGATGATAAGTTTAAACACCATTAACCAAAATATATCTTTCCTCCAAACAAGAATAATTATTAATTTTATGTGAAGAGTGATCAGAAAAGTTTTGGAAGAATTTCTGGGTAAGATAGGGTTACATAGCTCTCAGTTTTCATGCTGTCATGGTGACTGAATACCTTCAAAATGAAAGCATGTTGGTAGAGCTGTGAAAACAAAAATGAGAGCAAGCATAATGAAGAAAGACAGCTGAGAAGTGACGTGACACAGCAGCAAGGCTCATTCTACCAGGGGTATGTGCTCAACAAAGGGCAAAAACTCTACAGGAGCTGCAGCAATAGATTCAAGGATGTAGTCAGACAAATGTGAATTGGGCTAAAAAGGTCCCAATACATCCTTCGGGAATCTAGCCACTTGGAGTTGGAAACTGGAGCTGAAGTGTTGAGGCCAGAGAAGTTTTAAGATGCCAGGTGAAAGCTGAAGTTATGAGGTAGCAGGAAATATGAAGGAGAAGAGAAGAGCTGGCTGGCACAGAGAAGAGGGAAGCAGGTGCAGAAACAGAAGAAGGGCTCATTGGTGTTCAGTGAAAATGGTGGGGAGATAAGCTGTTTTCTAGAGCTCTTTCTGTCTAAACTCTCTGAAACTTTTAATACATGAGAGGAAATTAGTGACTATTTCTTCTTACTGGAAAGTTTCTAAGTAGAACTGTATATTTAGTTTCTAGCATTGTCATCTTGCATTATTAACCTTCACTCTTTCCTTTATCCAATCAGTAAGTAAATATTTGTTGATCATCTAATATATGAGGAGCATTTTACAGGCATGGGAAATTAACCAAATAAGAAACAGTCTTGTTTTTGAGGTGCTCATGATCTGGGACAGGAGACCGTTGAGCAAATAGCTAATTACCGCACAGGAGGGAGGAGGAACCTTAATCAAAACTGGCCATCTGCCTTAATGGGAGGGAAAGGGTACAAGGTAACAATATCCAATTCTGTCACCTTCAAACCAAGTATAAACTCATTGAAAGAAAGTACAACTTTTATGTCTTTTTCAATATCTGATGCACATCACGGAATCCTAAATATTTTAGGCTGATACTACTAATATTGTGATTTTTGAAAATGTTTCCTCAGGCCATCTAGTACTGTACCATCTGATGAATAAGCATAAGGGAAAGAATGTAGTTTCTCAGATCAACATTACTGTTCTTAGATATTTCACACTTAAAGTTAAATCGATAATGCAAGAATGACGTATCTCTTCAATAAAGTCCCTGGACCTTCTAGGTTTGCTTAATCATATTCTGTGATTTTTTATTAGTTAGTATAAAAACTTCATCTAATAATTTGTGCCTGCTTTTCTGCATCTGTTTATGCACTAACTGTACACAAACATTTGATTCAACTAAAGCAGTGTGAACATTTTGTTCAGGGCTCAACTGATATTATTAAAATTATGAGTTATTTAGATTTGATTACTTAAATTTGAATAGTAAAGATTTCAAATGTTCTGTGTTTTGAAAAATGCACTGTTTTCTTATTTTTAATTGTAAGACATCTATGTGGGCTAAAAGAAAGTTTAATATATTTCCATGAACAGGAAAAAAAAAAGTCTGCTTGCTTTCTCCTAAAAACTCTATGTGACTAAAAATGCATCTAAGAATAACATTAGTAAAGTAAATGCAATGGGCCATAATAAGAAAAAAGGTTACATCTGGTAAAAGGTCACACCATGGATTTCACTCGATTAGCAATGACAATCTTTATTATTTCCTCCTATTTGCCCCACACAAGCTGTAATTAAAATTATTTCATCTACCCCAAAATACAACTTAAATGTGTAGGAAACAAATCCTATTATCATTAAACTTCTTTTGCAGTGTTAAGCCTTCATAACTTTTATGAAAAGGGAAATAAAATTTATTAGATTTACATAAGTCACTTAATTTTTGCTTTCATTTATAAATATCATCTTATTCTATCATTCCAAGATTTCACACAATTTTATTAAGAGGAGTGACACTAAAATTTCTAAAGATGTTTCTGGAACCATTTTGGAGAATGGATTAGGGTTGTAGGGAAACAAAGCAAGAGATAACTGTATTTTAATTATCCAAGTTAGAGAAAAATTCATGAAGTAATATTAAAAACCATGACGGCATGTAAAATATTAACATTCAGGGAATCTGTGTGAGGGTACATGGGAACTCTATACTATTTTACAAATTATTGATGATCTTACATAGTTTCAAAATATAAGTTAATAAAATGATTAATCAATAAGCTTAGGTGGTAAATGAGAGCTTTGGCAGATACAAGTTTAAAATGAACAAAACTGGGGAAATACACTCATATTAAACACATTCAAAATAAACACTAAGTCTCAAAATGCCTAGAAATTCTGCATTTTGTTTAGCATATACATATGAAAAGTATTTTGAAGTATATCACATTTTTGTCTTTGCAATTATACTCTAATGAAAAGGTACATTTCCAGACAAGGATGCTGTGTCAAATATGGCATAGATAAAAGAAACAATTCATTCATGTTGATAAGAAAATACATCTTGTAAAAGTAAAAGGAATTATTAAATTACGCTCAAAATTGCTACAAAGTCAGAAAAATGATCTGAAATCATTGATTTTATGATGACTTCTGTATCGCACTGTAAACATACAACATTACAAAAACCAAATGCTATCTAAATTTGATCTAAAATTAAAGTTATTTGAACGAGATCTACTTTTGATTTCTTTTCATGCTTCAGATCAAATAAAACCATTTCCTTAGCATATAGAAATTATTACTAAATAAAATTTTAATGAAAAAAAAACCTGAAAGGAATTTTAGAGGAATTTCTATAATTTAAGCCAACTGAAAATCTCCAAAAAGGTTTTGACTGGTGATTTTTTTTCCCTTGGGTAGCATAGAAATAGAAGCACTTAAACATAATTCCTTTGACCCTGGTATATGCTGCTCAAAGCAGTCTGTGTGTCCATGTATAAGTGTAGAAGATCATGAGGAATATTTTAACAAAACTAAGGGCTTTCCATTTTTTTCCCATTCAACCTTAATTTCATCATGAGTTAATGTGAAGATATAAGTGCCACAAAAAAGAAAATAGCAACTATTATTTTAATACTTGTTAGTCTTCAGTGTTGAGCAGAGAAGTGACCTGCTATAAAGCATTTTCATCACTAGGAAGCTATAAAAAATTAAGTAGGTCTTAAGCCAAGATTCTATAAAAAGGAAATTCAAAATACCTTCTTTAGAACTACAAAGGAAGGATGAATTGCATGAGTTATGATTTTAACACAAGCCAGGCAATGCAATTGTTCCTGCTGCTGACACAGCCCCATCATGACTCTAACAGCTCTTCTGAATACCCAGCAGTATTCACTATCCATCTCCTGGTTAAAGATGTCCACTCTGTAAGCTCTGCAATAGAGTTATCTCCTGCAGGACTTCAGAAGTCTAATCAGAGTCTACTGACTCTCATTATAACTAATTTCTGTCATCTTGGGAGCACACATGAACTGCATTTCTTCACTATCACTTCATTTTCAAGACCAGGGTGGGGGGTCGTCTAGTGCAGTATCATTGCATATCTCTGTCTAAATATGACAACCACATTTCCACTCAGTTTTGGGGCAACCTATGTCAATGTGGGGACTCTCTACAAGGCACTTTGCTACAAAAGATCCAAACAAGACAGAGAAAAATAATTACAAGTTATAAGCTATTTCTTCAATAAAGATAATATTTCAATATTTGGCCTCATTCTTCCCCTAGGGAAGTTTGAGAACCCTAGTATCTGACTTTCTTCTCTTCTCTTTCTTTCTTTTCTTTTTTTTTCACTTCTTGAGCTCTTCTCCTGGAACAGTTGAATGTCTCTTTACTTTCTCCTTCCCATCCATCAGAGATTTAATACTGTTCTCTATCTCTCACCATGACTTACTAAAAGAAAACATACTAATAATATGAGCTTTATCATGCTCAACTGTGTCATTGAATGTTCCCCCCTCATGTAAGGTTTGTACAGGGAAATTGCTGCCATGATAAAATGTGTTTGTGAACGCTAAAGAGCTGTTATACTTTCTATAGAGAAGATATAAATGTGAAAGTGTGAATTCCATATCCTTATCAGGAGGAAGGTGCATGGAGAAATGAATCGATAAAAATAGAAAGAGACCCTCTATCTCCAGGTACAACTCTTTCGTTTGCTTTGCTTTGTTTTATCCATCACATATATTTTTAACTGAGTCATACATCTGATTGCTGTACTCTCCATTCTAAATGATTCAAGATGAATACCACTAACGTTAATTAGGCCCACTGGACATCTTTCACTGTGAGAGAATATAATTTTAAAGTATATGTATAGATGTTCTATCTGGTGCATATTTCGAAATATCCATTCTCTGCTGTTAGAATAATTATAATTATTGAAACATGTCAGCTTGTCCCCATCCTACATTTGTATTTGCTATTTTAACTTATTTTTATCATGTCTCTGAATGCTTTTGATGTTTAGTGAAGGCAACCCTTAAAATGGATTTTTTGTGCACAACTTTATGTCAGGCTGTATTTAAATCTTTGAGAATAGAAATATAAATAACACACAGGGCTTGTTTTAAGAAACTCTACAGTCAAGTGGGAATGAATAAAACATCAACACATGTATTCAATATGATGTAAATGAAGCAAGAGTAGAACATTCTAGATGCCATGGGTGAACCAAGAGAAACTTAACCCAACCTGTGGAAGTGAGGACTGTGGCCCTCTTCTAGGGTTTCTGTGGTGAAATTACTAACATAAGAAAAGTTGTTTGTGAACCTAAATAGCTGATATACTTTCTATGGAGAAAGTGTCAGAGCAAATGTTAGAAGAATAATTATAACTTTTCTCCTTAAGCATAACACAATAAGGCCTTTCTTGTAAAAGCAAAAGCATCTACCAGCAGCTGTTCATTACTGGAGCATAAAATCTTGGCTATTGAGTGGTGTAAGTGAGGCAGAAGAGTTAGGCATGAATTAGGTTGTAAAAGATGCTATATGCTGTGTTAAGGAGCCAGCTGGACTTTATCTGTTAGGCAATGAAGAGTCTTACATATATTTTAAGATAGACCAAGTGTGCATTCTAGATGGTTCCCTCTAATTGCAATAGGAAGGGTGGATTTGAAGTAGGTCAATTAGAAAGCTATTTAAATTACGTGATGGTTAATTTCATGTGTCAGCTTGGCTGGGCCAAAGTACCCAGATATTTTGTCAAACACTGGTGTTCTGGTGCTGAAGAAACATATTTCAGATAAGATCAACATATAAATCAACAGACTTTGAGTAAAGCAGATTATCTTCCATAATATGAGTGGGCCTCATCCAATCAGTTAAAGAATTTAAAAGAAAGAAGACTGACTTCCCCAGAGGAAGATAGAATTCGGCCAGCAGATTATCTTCGGACTGGAACTAAAGCATCGTATCTTCCCTGGGCCTCCCGCCAAATGGCCTAACCTGAAGATTTGGGACTTTTCAGCCTCTAATACAAAACCATGTGAACCAATTCTGTAACATCTCTCCTTGTCTCTCTCTTTCTATATACATCCTATTGCTTCTGTTTGTCTGGAGAACCCTGATTAATAAAAAGAACTATAGAAGAGACCATGTAAATGTCCTCAATAAAATTAGGGAACTCAGGGGTCAGGGAAGGCTAGGGAGAAAAGGAGGCAAGTTTTATTCTGGGCAACTTCCAAACAAGAGGATATTGGGGAAGATTGGTGGGGTTCTCCAGCAACTGTTTTTTTGTTTGTTTGTTCGTTTTTCATTTTTTGCTTTTTTTTAAACTTATTTTAAGTTCAGGGGTACAAGTACCGGTTTGTTACATAGGTAAACTTGTGTCATGGAGGTTTGTTGTAGAGATTATTTTACCCTCCAGGTATTAAGCCTAGTAGTTGTTATTTATTTTTCTTGATCTTCTTCCTCCTTCCATCCTCCACGCTCTGAAGTCCCCAGTGTGTGTTGTTCCCCTCTATGTGTCCATGTGTTCACATGATTTAGCTCCTATTTATAAGTGAGAACATGAAGTATTTGGTTTTCCATTCCTGTTAGTTTGCTAAGGATAATGGCCTCCAGTTCCATACCAGCCTGGAATGCAGAGATGTCAGATAGAAGTCCTTTGTTGGCTTGTTTGCTTTAATTTAAAAATAGAGGTGGACCAGTAGATGAGATCACCTAGGAAGAACATGTACAGTGAAAAGAGAAACAGGTGAACACAACACGCTGAGACAAAATTTAAGAAGCCTGACAAGGAAAAAGCCTATAAAATAAACTATGAAGAATTTAAAATTCAAGGGAAATCCAGAGGAAATGACATAAAATAAACTAATCTATCCTGGCAGAGAAGGTCCTTTGTGTATGTATACTATGACTCTGCAGTGCACAATGCTTTTCGTTCAAAGATTGGTGCTATATTTTTACTCCTGGAAAATAATGGCTATTTTCTCTGCTTAATTTTTTTTTTTTTTTTTTTTTTTTTTTTACAAATTTCTGTCTTTTTGTTAGGTTTATAAATTATTATCAATCTCTGTCTTGGTGTTGACCTTTTTTTCATTAGAGGTATCATGAGTATTAATATCTACTATGAGAATTTTTATGGCTGAATATTACCTTTCTAATACAAACTTTCACCTGCCTTTGAGTTTTTTGCTTTGTTTCTTATTTTAAAAATTTATATTCTAGACTGGATATCTGTTACATTATATCTCTATATCTTTCGTCTTTACAATTTTTATCAAACCCTTCCACTGATTCCCAGATTTTGGGGGTTGTTTCAATGGCTTTATTTCTGTCTTATTTATTTAAATTTTCTCCAAAAATAGCTATATTTTAGTGTATGCAACTTGATCACATTTTCACTTTCTGTTTAACTACTTTGATTAATTTCATAATGTCCTTATGTTAGTGATCACATATCTTATTACATAATTCCTTTGATTTTATATTGAGGATAGTAGTCATTTGTAAGGCGTTCTGCTTCATAAAATAATTATATTATCTCATGGAAAGAATTTTTATCCTCATAAGTAGTACATTATTCTTCTCTTGTAAAATAAACTTTTTACTTGTCACATGTTCAATTTTGGAGATTTTCTTATTCATGAACAAAGAAATATTTATATTTGCCTTAACTGTTCTTTACTGCTTGTTATGATTGTTTAGTTGATGTTAACTTCATTTTTTCACAGTTATATCAAAACAAGTAATGTTAATGTTCTTATGTATATATATGTATATATAGAGATGAGAACATATATATGTATATATGTATATATAATACATAAGAACATTAACATATGTGTATATACAAAAACACAACACATACACACACATATATTATATATATCAGATATAAATAAACAGGTGTAATTTTCTCTAATTTTATTTTTTAAGTTCCGGGATACAGGTACTGAATGTGTAGGTTCGTTACATAGGTATACACGTGCCATGGTGGTTTGCTGCACCTATCAACCCAAGATCTAGGTTTTAAGCTCTGCATGCATTAGGTATTTGTCCTAATGCTCTCCCTCCCCTTTACCCCCACGCCCGGCAGGCCTTGATATGTGATGTTCCCCTCCCTGTGTCCATGTGTTCTCATTGTTCAGCTCCGAGTGAGAACATGAGGGGTTTGGTTTTCTGTTCCTGTGTTAGTTTGCTGAAGATGACAGCTTCCAGCTTCACCCATGTCCCCGCAAAGGACATGAACTCATTCTTTTTTATGGCTGCATAGTATTCCATGGTGAATATGTGCCGCATTTTCTTTATCCAGTCTATCATTGATGGGTATTTGGGTTGGTTCCAAGTCAATGCTATTGTAATAAACATATGTGTACATGTGTCTTTATAGTAGAATAATACATAATCCTTTGGGTATATGCCCAATAATGGAATTGCTGGGTCAAATGGTAGTTCTGATTCTAGATCCTTGAGGAATTGCCACACTGTCTTCCACAATGGTTGAACTAATTTACACTCCCATTAACAGTGTAAAAGCAGTCCTATTTCTCCACATCTTCTCCAGCATCTGTTGTTTCCTGACTTTTTAATGATTGTCATTCTAAATGGCATGAGATGGTATCTCATTGTGGTTTTGATTTCCATTTTCCAATGACCAGTGATGATGAGCTTTTTTCCATATGTTTGTTGGCCACAAATATGTCTTCTTTTCAAAAGTGTCTGTTCATATCCTTTGCTCACTTTTTGATGAGGCTTTTTGTTTTTTTCTTGTAAATTTGTTTAGGTTCCTTGTAGATTCTGGATATTAGCTCTTTGTCAGATGGACAGATTGCAAAAATTTTCTCCCATTCTGTAGGTTGCCTGTTCACTCTGATGATATTTTCTTTTGCTGAGCAGAAGCTCTTTAGTTTAATTAGATCACATTTGTCAATTTTGGCTTTTGTTATTATTGCTTTTGATGTTTTAGTCATGAAGTCTTTGTCCATGCCTGTTTCCTGAATGGTATTGCCTAGGTTGTCTTCTAGGGTTTTTATAGTTTTCTTTCTAATATCTTAACCCTCATTTATAATCCCCAAGAAATGCAGAGATTACATTTGCCTCTTTCATTTCATCCCCACCAGGAGAAAAGGGCACTATCAACAAAATTGCAGAATTATGGAATAAAGAAGAAGATGAAAATTCTTTTATTCACTAATGACTATTTAGTATATTTTGGAAAAGGAACAGAGAAACAAAAGGAAACCTTACAGAGACACTTTAACTAAATTTTCTATCCTGTACTAATATTTGGCCTTAAAAGCATAAAGGAGATTTGTCCATCCTGTTACTTAGAGCACCGAGCTATTTATACACAGATTCTATTTCCTATTTCTGAACTAGGGGCAGTAAGGAAATAGATTGTGGACTCTCTTAAACCAAATTGGTGTTCCTGGCACATAGTTTTAAAAGCTACTACATCACTTCTCTCCATTAATTAGGATAATTGTAGAAACTTTTGCAGTGTTTTGGTTTATGTGTTTTTATTTGCATTATTTTGGGTTGTTATCATGGATTTTTTATTGGTGTATTTCATATTTTAAAAAAAAATCTGAAACAGCCATCATTTTTAGATCTCTCTGCTAAGGGTGCTATTTACGTTTAATCATCAAAGTATCCAATGAGTTAGCTACTATTACCTTTTTTTTAACAAATGAAGTTAATAACACTGACATATATAGGGCCTTAAAAACTTCTTCAAATTCATTCAGCTAGAAAGGGGGAAAACCAGTGATTGTAAACAAGCTTAAGTACAAAAACTGAGCTATTACACTCTGTGTTATATTGACTGGTTTTACTTTAATCTGTCTGTTCTGCTTGGATATTTTATTTAGGAACATTGGCACCATTATATGTAATATAACATAATTATATATTACATGTATTTTCACAATTGTTCTAAGTATGATTAAAATAAAACTATGTAAGTACTTCAGAATGCTTTGGTTTCTTGCTCCTAATACTGTACTAGTGTGATTATATACTTTGACTTCTTTCAGACTTTCTCTATTCAGACTCCTCCTAGAAATTTGTTCAAATATTCTTTCTAATCTATTATTTAACTTTCAAAATTGTGATGTATATTAATTATGGTCTGGACATTTCTAAGCATCCTGTAACTCTGCTGAGTTCTTAAAACACAGTTTGCCCTTCACTAAAATCATTATTACATGATTGGGTAAAAATGAAGTCTAGACAGCCTCCATCATTATCCTGGAAAAGTAATTTAAAATACCCAGTTCACCCACAAGTCACAAGGGCACAAAAAGTATTGTGTAAAGAGACCAAATCTCCTTCCTTGTCCATGGTGCTGTAATCACTTAAGATAAATTTCTCAAGGCCATCTTTAGGTTTGATCACAACAGATATTTACTGTAAAAACTGAGGAATCACGGATCCTACTTGGCCATCTTAGTTAAGAACTTGGACTACACTGGTTATTTAGTACGGGCAAGGCAAGATCTTTAAAATTATCACCTCTCTATAAAATAATAAATGAATAAATAATCTTAGATCTATCCAGTAAATTACACACAAGTACCATAGTAATATAGCATTTTCGGACTGAGTTCAAATTCTGTTTGACTACATATTTGACTACTTAGTAGCTGTGTGCCTGATTTGATTACAGAATTTGAAAGACAAGATGAATTACTGTTAAATACTCTTAGAGATGTGTTATGGCCCATCACCAGTGTTTGTGAGAATGGAGTGGTTACCTACCCCAAAGCTTCACCTATCAGCAGATGTAAGGAGCCCCGAGCACAGAGTAATTATTTGTAAGAGGGCTTTAATGGTGATTTCCCAGAAATATTAAAAAACACTTGTTGTGGGAAGTCAGGGACCCCAAACGGAGGGACTGGCTAGAGCTGTGGCAGCGGAACATAAATTCTGAAAATTTCATCTTAATATGGACATTTATCAGTTCCCAAATAATAATTTTATAATTTCTTATGCCTGTCTTTACTTTAATCTGTTAATCTTGTTATCTTCATAAGCTGAGGATGTACATCACCTCAGAACCACTGTGATAACTGTGGTAACTGTACAAATTGATTGTAAAACATGTGTGTTTGAACAATATGAAATCAGTGCACCTTGAAAAATAACAGAATAATAGCGATTTTTATGGAACAAGGGAAGACAACCATAAGGTCTGATTGCCTGCGGGGTCGGGGAAAAACAGCCGTATTTTCCTTCTTGCAGAGAGCCTATAAACGGACGTGCAAGTAGGAGAGATATTGCTAAATTCTTTTCCTAGCAAAGAATATTAATATTAATACCCTGGGAAAGGAATGCGTTCCTGGGGGAGGTCTATAAATGGTCGCTATGGGAATGTCTGTCTTGTGCAGTTGAGATAAGGACTGAGATACACCCTGGTCTCCTGCAGAAACCTCAGGCTTACTAGGGTGGGGAAAACTCCACCCTGGTAAATTTGTGCTCGACCGGTTCTCTGCTCTTGAACCCTGTTTTCTGTTCTTTAAGATCTTTATCAAGACAATACGTGCACCACTGAACATAGACCCTTATCTGTGGTTCTGCTTTTGCCCTTTGCCTTGTGATCTTTCTTGGGCCCTTATCAGTAGTCCTGCTTTTGCCCTTTGTCCTGTTCCCTCAGAAGCATGTGATCTTTATTAGACCCTTATTAGCGGTTCTGCTTTTTGCCCTTTGAAGCATGTGATCTTTGTACCTACTCCCCGTTCTTACACCCTCTTCCCTTTTGAAACCTTTAATAAAAACTTGCTGGTCTGAAACTCAGGCGAGCATCAAGTCCTACAGATATGTGATGTCACCCCTAGCGGCCCAGCTGTAAAATTCCTCTCTTTGTACTGTCTCTCTTTATTTCTCAGCCGGCTGACACTTATGGAAAATAGAAAGAACCTACATTGAAATATTGGGGGCATGTCCCCCAATAAACACTGACACAGACTGAAAACTAAATTTAATTTTCATAAATGGTAGAAATACTTATTAGGTCTGAGGATGAGTTTACCAACTGGCAATAGAAAGGACAGTGATGCTATTATTATTCAAAATAATAAATCATAGAAATTCTTGCCCAATAAGATAATTTTTATTAAGATAATATTATCTTTGCTTGGAAACAACAAATAAGACAATATTTCAATTATACTTTTGAAAAGCAAATGCTTACTTTTTTTTTTTTTACAAAATAGCGAAAACATAAACCCTTCTTAAGATTATTACTTTTATTTCATTTTAAAACTTAAAATTCTTTTTCTAAATGTCCTACTAAAAGCATCATATTATTTAAGATATACTATATGCTATTACTTGCAAAAATAAGTTTACATATGGAGATGACACACATATTTCATAAAGTTCAATGTGTTTAATCTACTTTATGTCCTGGCTATTAGCCATCCACAAGGGCAAATGGTTTTAATTTTCTGGACTTCTGTCACTTCTTATAGATAAAAAAGGGCACTAAACTAAAGTTCCCCACCCCCTCACTCTAGTCTATTGTACAATATATCAAACCTATCAACTAACAAGTCTCTAATTTCTGTATTTTTTTATTCAACAGCTAATTTTCTTAATCCTTCTTTTTCTCTGGCAACATTTCTAGTACTCTAATGAACTTTGTTTTGCACTTGCTATGTATGATTTTGTGATTTATCTTATGCCACAATTCTTGTAGTTTACTTCAGGAAAAAGAACTTATCACTTGGTAGTTGTTTGCACTTGGATAAAAATGACTGAATTTTTCTTTATAAAGTCAAGGAAAGGAAATATACTGCCAGCTAAGACTAAGCATGAAAGATTTCATCTGAGAGGGACAATTTGTCAGAAAATCATGAGGAGCTGCATACGGAAGGGTATAATGGAAGCAGTCTTGCAACATTAACGATATCATTTACTCTCATCAATCCTGTAATAAATCCACACACACCACACTGAGGGGCAGTGCGGTCTCTGCTGCTGGTGCTCGCAGGCAGAGCTGTAGTCACGCCCTAGAAGGTGGAGCCCTGTCTCATCTCCAGGGCAAGTGCCATGATGTGCGTGCTGAGGAATGAATTCGGAAAATGGAAATGGCAGCTCAGAAAGGCGGGCAAAAACTACGGGCTTAAATCACCTCCAGAGTGCTTTCTTATCGTGGACAATGAGTTACTACTCAGCAAAATATAGTTTAACCAGTGCGAAGACTAAACTGCAATCACAGGGATAAAATAGCTTTCTGAAAATCATTGTTTCTTTTATAAAGGTGCCATTAATAAATGTCATTGTACTCTCCAGAAATTAAACCTATGCCCGCTCTGCTAAACTCATAAATGTAGTCATACTTGGCACTTACAGATCAGTTTTAACCATTCTAATTACACACTAACTATGAGAGATTAGGTACATTCTTCCATTTAATTAATAAAGTTTGAGGGTATTAAGATATCTTTTGCCCAAGTTCAAAAGATAATTAATAAGCAGTAATATTGTATTTATATATTTAATGGTGTTATATGAAAGCACGGAGTTATACCATGTAAAGGAAGTAAACCATTTTTTGAAGAATATTTTTAAAAAGAATTTAAATTTAAATTTAGTAGCATTAATACAATGAAATGCGGTGGAATCTCAGAAACTATACAACCCATGCTTTTACTCTTGTTCATCAGTGTGACCTTGGGAAGTTTATTTAATTTCCCTAAGTTTCTGCCTTTTCATCTGCCAGAGGGGATACAATATTTGCTTTAAAGTGTTATTGTGAAACTCCATAAAGCCTGGTCTATAATGCATATAATCTTGCTGGAAAAAAAAAAGTACCTAATATGGGCTCTCTGGCATCTTAAACTTTCCTCTCATATTTAAATGGCTATAGCCTGAACGTTATAATTCAGGGTATTTTACAAAATAATTCACAATATAATATCTTAATCAGGTAATAATTTGACACTCTGTTCATTAAAGAAACTCAGCATATTTAGAATCAACACAGAAATTCCAATTTATTATCCAGACAATTTGTAAGTATTACATTTTTCAAGATGTTTCAAAAGAAGATTAGCTCGCTCTGACAAATAAGCTCCCTCATTCAGACGGCCAGAAAGGGTGCTGACAGGTGACACAGGTTTTCATAATCTGCTTAGTGTCATCAAAATAACAATGATGGTTGACAGCTAAACTGTTCCTCTTAGAAGTTTATGTAAACGCTTTTTATATCTCAGCACTAAATTAGAATTTCATAAAGAATCTTTTTTATGCCTTCATCAAGGACATAAGACATTTTTCCTGGCAAAATGTACCATATAGAATAACTTTCATTAGTCACAGCTAATAATGCATGGAAATAATGTTTGTTCTTGTACTTTACTGGCATTAATTGAGTGTTTACTCTAAGGTCTGTTTTAAAGAGCTTTTGTAAGTGTTCACTCACTTAATGCTTCGAATATCTCCATGAGATCAACATCATCATCACCATTTTACAGATGAAGCACCGAAGCCAGAGAAGTTCAGTAATCAGCACAAGGTAACCCTGCTAAGAAGCTAGTCTTGGAGCCATAATGTGAATCAGGCTATTTGCCTCCAAAGCTCGGGTCCAAAACCTTCAATCAGGTTAACATCATCAATCTTGTTAATATCATCTGGATTTACAAAATTATAAACCCCTTCACTTATTTATTTGTTAATGCATATTTATTGAGATCTTTTTATGTGTCTAGGATTGTTTTATGCTCAACCTTAACAGAAAGAGTAAATTTCATTCACATGGCAGATAGGACCTTTGTGAAGATGGAAGGGCAGAATATGGATAAGTCTGATAGTATATGTTGTTAATTAATTGTTAGTATATGTCAGGTACTTCTGGAACACTTTTATTATTTTAATTCTTTTGATTTCTACATCAGCCTGATGAAATAGATCACACCCACTCTACAGAGGAAGAAACAGAGCCACAGTTTAAATAACTTGCACGAGGTAATAGAGCTAATAAATGAGAAAGCCAGGACTTGGACAAAAAGGTATAGCCCCAGGGTTCATACTTTGAACCACTGCTGAAAGGTTAGTTGGAGATGGTTTTAGCAGCCAGCAACATGACGAATTCTTGCAATCAACACCAATTTTGTATAAGAAAATACTCCACGGGCAGGGAAGACAGGGTCCTGTTTTATTCCCTGGCTATATAACATTTATGAATATAAAAATGAATTCATTTTATGTTCTTAAATTGTTGCATATAAAAAACATCCTGATTTAGTTGTGGGTTTTTGAGAAAAATGAATGCTTACAGGTAAAAGCATGAGGTTCTGAATTTTAAAAATTTGGAGTCTATGTTCTATCAAAATTCCACGAGAAATGCACATAACAAAACATACACCCCTGATTTTATCCCTGTGAGCTATTTAAATAAAGTTTCTCCCATTTTCTAAGTTCTGCCGTTACTGACCTTTTTCAGCTTTCATTTAGTAACTGAAAATTAGATTATAATTAGTGGGGGCTTATTTTGTTTGGTGTATGTGCCTGTGCATGTGTATGTGTATTTTTAAAAAATCAAAGTGAGTTCAGAAAAATCAGAATATCCTGCATATGAGACCAAATTGGGTCAACAATTTTCTCAAGAAATTGTTCTATTCCATTGATTTCAATTCTTAAATGAAGAGGTATTTGGCGGGAATTATGTCTGATTTTGCTGGGCAGGCTGAGGCTCTACTGCAGTTGGTGAGGCTGGAAGTCTTGAAACACAGCTATTTTCTCTTCCTGTTAAAGGCCAGATTACTTTTTCTAGAGGGGTTGTAAAGAAGTGTTAGCACAGAGGCTGTGGTGGTTGGTAGTAATTTACCAGTTAATTGCCGGCCAATGCTGCCTGTTAATTACCAGCATATCTTGCCTTAAGGTAGAGTAGTATGGAAAATAGCGACTTTAAGTAAAATTCAAGTTTGTGTGTGTGTGTGTGTCTAAAAAAGAAAAGACAGGTTTTACAGTAGTTATTACTGAGGAAGTCAGACAGAGCTAGTAAATGGAGATTCAAAGGACTGTACTTTCACTGAAAAACTATCTTACCAAAGTGCTTTCGGATTCGGACAGAAATTATGCTGTTTTTCCTCCTATCAGGGGAAGCTAGCCACCCTAGATGAAAGATGTGAACAGACTTGAGTAATGCCACTTTGTTCATAGGAGACAAGGACATTCATTTAAAAATGGGAACGGATCAGAATCTGAAATAGTTTACTGAGAGAACAAGTGAAAAAATTAAAACATTAAATTTGAAGATCCCTCTACTGAAAGTGAACCTACACTTTTAAAACTTAAAAAAAGTCAGCGAAAAATAATGTATCACCTACTATGTGCTCAACCAAGATATCAAGGTAAATAAGAACAGCTTCTGCTCCTTAGGGAATTTACACTTCAAAGGGACAAGGAAATGCGGGGACGTTGATAGAGGAGAAGAGGTACATATTTGGATGAACCATATAATTATATTTCTAATACAACATAGTAAATCCTATCACAGGGATGAGATACTTGAATACAGACATATATGAATACAGACAAATAAAAGAATAAATCTGCCAGAAAAGGCCACATAAATAAGGAAAGAAACAAGTAAATAAGGAAGATTATTATGAGAAAGATAGGTGATCAGATTTGTAGCTTAGGAGGTAACAAGTTAGTTTAGATGGGAATTAATTGTTAAGAGTTAAGTTGGTAAGGTCAACAAAAGAAACTCCTACAGGTTGCTAGTGGTGGTATAAATTGATACAATCACACTGGGGAAAAAAAGGTGGCATTAAAGGTTAAGATTCCTAGACTTCCTTCTAGACGCTAGAACCTAGAGAAACTCTTGTACTTGTGCAAATGTAATGACCAACACCGACATACAAGAAAATTCGTAAGATCATTGGTTGTGATAGCAAATTAAACAACAGAAATATATTGGAAACAACTTAGGAGAAGAGATAAATAAATGAGATTTGTTCATTCAGTGAAATGTATAGCAGTAAATAAATGAATTACAGCTGCACAAGCGATAATATATATTTTGTGCTAAAAACAATATAATGGTTGAATTGTATACAAATATGCATATACATGCATACAAATATTTATATTTATGCATTTATTTTATATAAATTATATAAATATTTATTTTATATAAAATTTATATTTATGCATTAAATAAGCATATAAATAAAAGCAGGAAAAGTATTCAGGATTGTGGTTATCTACATGGAGTTACAAGATATTGGTAAAGTTTGCTTTTTCTTTTGTAGGATGAAATATTTCATAATAAATAGTTTAAAGTGTCAGTGATGACAGCTGGCTGTACTACTGCTATGTGTGGGGTCTAAATGCAGGATCCGCTGGGAATTATGAACCTTGGTGTTCAGAACCCAAAACTGTTTTTTCCAACTTAATAAATACCATTGCGTAGATCACAGGAGCATCTCCTGTGCTTATGAGGTCTTAACCAGCAATAGGAGACCTGGGATTGCTGGTAACCTTGCCATCAATTCTTCCCAACTCAAGATGGCCCTTTAGAAGGACATACATCATATTGCCATAAAAAATTACCTGCCTTTCAGGGTTTAAGCAGATGCCAAGTGACCAAATGGAGAAAATATCGTAAAATGATCTCTTGTAATGTACAGATAGTTGTTCTAAAATTTCCCAATTCCCTTTCAATCCAAAAACGACAATGATACTCAATTATTTTCTTGGGATTTTTCTTTCAGCCAACTTTCTTCCCAATGATCACGCAAGACTTCTTTCCCCAATTTGTTTAATTAATCAATTGCTTCAATTATTACCCAGGTCTGGGTATTCTTGACTTCTCTTTAACTCACAGCATTAATGAATTTGCTCTCCCCATTTGCTTAATAAATATTATTTATATTGTAATTCTTTTTTTTTTTTTTGCTGGCTAGTTAGCATATCTATCAGCTAGAGGCCACCAAACCTTAGTTGGTACTTTTGTTCTTAAAATCAGTACTTTATTATTGTAACAATCTTCAATTATCAAATATAGAAAGAATTTATTTAGAATGAGTGTTGACGCTAGAAAAGAATACTGCCTCAGTAGAATGCCTGGATTTGAGAGACCTGCTAGACTAGTCTATTAACTAAACCACAAAGATGTTATAGTAATCAACCAAATAGCAATTGATAACATGGAAATGGGTTGTACTGACCTCAACAAATTGATGATTCAAATTTTCCTCTTCAACTATTTCATATATATATTATATATATTATATATATTATATATTATATATATTATATATATTATATATATTATATATATTATATATAATATATATAATATATATAATATATATAATATATATTATATATATAATATATATATAATATATATAATATATATTATATATATTATATATATACATAAAATATATATATTATATATATATAAAATATATATATGAAAGTATGTATGTATGTATCTGCTCTCATAGCCAGGAAATTATTTATTTCTATCCTAAGTCTTTCATCCTGTAATATAAAGTCATTTCCTTTTTTGGTTTTCTACAACTGGGTATCTCAATAAGTAGAATAATTTTATTTTCTAAAAAATGAAAAACACAAATTATTTCCAAAAACACAAGGGCATATCAATCATATACATCATGCAGAATATCGCTCATAATGATGGACTTCCACAAACATCATAAAACATGTTGGCAGCTATCCTTGCTATGCTAAAAATACAATATTTTGATAAAAATAACATGCCCAGTTTGCTCAAATAAAAGATGTTAACAGCCACAGATTTCCCTGTGTTGGATACAATAGTTATAATGAAAGTGAAATACATTTTGTGTAGATCAATAGTACTCCCCAAACAACTGACGCATGATTTTCTACTTCTTACTATAGTGTGGCAACTAGTCTTTGGTATTCTCTGTAGATATGAAAAGGAACATAATGCACTAGTAAAAACATAACATTGGTTTTATTTTACTGCTCTGATGGAAGACGATTACAAATTATTTCACACCCTTCAAGTATATACAACATAATCTCTAGTATTCAGGATTGCTGAAGTCTGCAACTACATAAGGAATTCTGAATTTTTTCTGAACAACTATAAGTGACTACATTGAGCTAGAGAGTGTGTTACCTTACAAAGAGTGTGTCACCTTACAGTGTGATACATTCCTGAAAACTTCATCTGTGCATTTTACTTCAGCTACATGCAAATAGTTTTCGTGGGTGAAGGAAGGACAGTTTTCCTTCTGATTATAAAAAGGTCAAAACATAATTTTTTAAAAGACATGCTTCAAAGGAAAACGTAAAAAAATAAATAAATAAATACCAACACTCCTATGGAAACAACCCCCTTTTAATTATCCCCAGGACCATGTTGCATTATAATTTACATTCTGGCCAGCTGAGGTTCAAATTAAAGAGCTCCATGGGTGACAGGAACCCTGAGGCCCATGAGGATCCTGAGGACACAGGTGACTGTGTCAATGATTTAACAGGGATGGCTTATCCAGCCTTGGTGTCAGCATGGGGCAAAGTATTGGGAGTCTGATGCATGTAGCCATGTAATTACGCATTTAAGTATATTTTCCTAATTAATTTAAATATGCTTGAAAAGCTCACAAGGCTTGAACCTGAAAATTCCTGGGGTTTAGTCATTGGAAGGAATCAATGCTCCCTGAAGTGAGAGAGCTTGTCGCATCATTCATGAGCTTTTGAAAGATGCCTTTGATAGAGAAAATCATATTACTGAAATTTCAAAATTTGGAGAATATGCTTTACCTCTTTTATAATATTAATTTTAGTTAAAAAATGAGGCTGAAAATGTTTTCAGCAACTGATAGTCTGGTTGCTATTTAAAGCAGGACAAAAGAATGTGCAGGAGCATAAACATTGCTCCTACCATACGATAAATGACTCCTGAAGGACACCCAGACAGTAGTCAGAGAAGGCAGGAGCAGAGCTGAGAACAGAAATATGATGGCTAGAGTTGTTGATATTTGTGTCAAAATATTCCCAAATGAGAGGGTAAAGTGAGCCAACTCTTAGACAAAGAAGTGATTCAGATGCATTCCCAGAGAATCTCATAAGGGAGAATGTACCTACAAGCCTTCAACTCAACCTCTAGCCACCCTCACATGGCCTCATGCCTTGATCCCTGACCTGGGACGCATATCCATGTCTAGGCAACAGTTATTATTTTCTAACTCTGTGAAAATATTGACTCCTGGCCAACTTTTCTTTGCCTTCAGTTTCTTATTTGATGAATACTTTACAAAATTATAATTTATTGGAAAAAAAATGGAACCGTGGCTCATTTCCCTCCATGAGCACATGCTGTTTTATCTTGATATGCAAGGTGACAGTGTCTCCTCTCTGGAAGGTTAAGCCACCTGCCCGCACAGGCTCCTTGCTCACATAATTGTGGTGCCTTACAACATGGACGGCAGCTAGGGTCATTTTCCCTTTTGATATTGTGTTTCCGAGTTAGAATTAAGAGTTAGTGAAGTCAGAAAGAGACGATTCTTGCTAAACCAATACCCAGTGGGGTTTAAAAAACAAACAAACAAACTTAAACAGCCCAGTATAGGAATATCAGTGAAGTTAAACAGCCAGCTTTAGACTCACTCCTGAGGATGCAGAGTTCTAAAGAATAATAGCAGTCTGGTCAGCAGTGAAAGATACTTGCTTGTATGTGGAGATATCTGAGGTCCCCAAGGAAAAGCAGAATGGTTTAAAAGCAGAGTAGAGAAACTGAAGGCATCAGCCAGAAAATATAAAGTGAGCTAAACTGGACTTTGCTGAAGCCACAAAATTTTCCCAGATAAGTCATGCTCATAGATTTATTATAAACATTCAGTAAACTGCAGCAAACTTCATTAATACATTATACAATCATTTTGTAATTAGTTACTTTTATAAAAGAGTGATTTAATTGCTGGTTTATCTTCCATTTACGAGGGATGTGCTATGAAAGAATGGGATCACCATCTGATGGCAATTATAGGCATTAGTCAATGTACTTCAGGAGAAATTCCAGGCTTTCAGATTCAGTCATGCAGTGTGTTACATAGAAAGCAGATATAGAGATATATAAAGGTATATATGTTATATGAAGTAATTCAAAGGCACATATGATTTATAAAAGTAATATTAATTTTAATGTGAAGTATCACTTCTAAAAGCAGGCTAATTTCTTAGATTTTAAGACACAGTAAGTAATAGTTCATACTTACTGGTTAAATGTTCTTGAAATGTTCTAATGAATCAATGTGCTGTACTGTCTCGTGATCTAAATTTCCCACACTTAAATGGCAGGTAGTAATAGCATACGTGTGTCAGGACTGAACCTACTGAATGTATTCTTAAAATAAAATATTATTTTCTTTGGGATTTAAAAACACACACTTGTAAATATTGATATGAATAACTTTTGATTAAAAAATTAAAGTAACAGAGCTAGATTGTCTCTGAACCAAGAGCAATAAGATGTAAAATCATAGTGGTACTTACCACAGTGAAATTCATAACTTTCAATATCCATATTGTCATGGCTAAGTTAACTATCATGGTAACCAACAGCAGAAGGACAAAGAAGTATAAGCACCTCTTTCGCCATCCATAAATTCCCACTGGGTAAAGTTGTGCATTCTCAGTCCTTGGCAGGTTATTCTGTTGGGTTGCTAGTATGTATTGTTCTCGTGTCATCTGAAAAAGAAAAAAGAAAGAAAGAGAAAGAAGGAAAAAAAAAGAAGCATTAAAAAAAATAAACCCATGATTTTTTTGAAACAAAAGAACAATGTACGTTAAAATAATTGGCAGTGAGCATTCAAATAACTATTGTTGTGTAATTAAAATGTTATAGAAAACTTCGAATCATTTTGTTCAATATAGTTTTTTAGAGATGTTTAATTCATTGTTATATCCACAATATATATATTATTTCCAGTCAGATTTGTCCCATTTCAACAGTAAGTTTTTCCCTTGGGAGGCTCAGGTCTACCTCCAGTTACCGGTAACTAAAGAACTCTACTCATGTCCAAGTGATACAGTTTGGATCTATGTCCCCACCAAAATCTCATCTTGAATTGTACTCTCCAATGTTGGAGATGGCTCCTGGCGAAAGGTGATGAGATCATGGCAGTGAATTTCCCCCTTTGGTGCTGTTCTGGTAATAGAGTTCTCATGGGACGTGGTTAAGTGGGTGGCACCTCCCCACTCCCTCTTGGACCTGCTCCTGCCATATAAGACGTGTCTGTTTCCCCTTTGCCTTCCACCATGATTGTAAGTTTCCTGAGGCCTCCCCAGAAGCAAAAGCCTCTATGCTTCCTGTACAGCCTGTAGAACTAGGAGCCAATTAAACCTCTTTTCTTTGTCAATTACCCCGTCTCAAATATTTTTTTATACCAGAGCAAGAATAGATGAATACACCAAGCTACACTTAGACTATGATTTACCTGTTCTTTGCAGTAGAGAGAGACTGAGTCTACCACAAGGATTTTCTGTACCTTTCTCTAAAAATGCAGGATACAAATGGTTCAGTATATATGCTTCAGTAAAAATATTAGTGTATTTGCAAGAACCTATGAAAGAAAATTCACATTTGTGCAGATTTATGTAGACAATAGCTATCAAATTAAGTTTTATTCAGAATTATGTTGGTTATTTTAGTTGTATTTCAATGAGTTATCAGAAAAAAATATTTAACTCTAAGAACACTATATATTATACCATACTATTTCATAATGTAATGAAATTAGAAGTCAGTTCTGAAAAACTAAAGATGATATTCTTTGATAATGCATACATTCAGGTTCTAGAATTAATTCTTTCAATAAGCAAATGCATTTTTTACTGTCTTATACAACTTAGAAATATGGATAAGAAGAGTAAAACAATATGAATAAGCACTGAATATGTCTTAAGTGTACAATTTTCAGAATAACATATTTATTACCAGAAGGATGGAAACTGATTTTTATAAAATATAATTTTCTATAAGACAATAATTGTTCATTATTATCTCTTCAGTTTTTTCTCAGATTGCTTTTATACTTATTAAATGACGAATCTAACATAAATACTTCTGAATAAATTATACACAAATAAAAATAATATTAATAAGTAATTAAATTATATGTTAAGTAATATAAAATATATGTACTATACAATTATCATTGTAATGTTCATTGACTCAATCCTACTGTAGATAAAATGTTGAGAATTTTTTTTTCCATAGGTTTTTGGGAAACAGGTGATATTTGGTTACATGAGTAAGTTCTTTAGTGGTGATTTGTGAGATTTTTATGCATCCATCACCTCAGCAGTCTATAATGAACCCAATTTGTAGCCTTTTCTCGTTCACTCACTTCTCACCATTTCCCCCTGAGTGCCCAAAGTCCATTGTGTCATTCTTATTCCTTTGTATCCTCACAGCTTAGCTCCCACTTATGAGTGAGAACATGGAATGTTTGGTTTTCCATTCCTAAGTTACTTTTACTTCACTTAGAATAATAGTCTCCAATCCCATCCAGGTTGCTGCAAATGCCATTAATTCCTTCCTTTTTATGGCTGAGTAGTATTCCACTGTACATATATATACCACAGCTTATTGACTGATGGGCATTTGGGCTGGTTCCATATTTTTGTAATTGTGAATTGTGCTGCTATAAACATGAAAGTGAAGTATTTTTTTTGTATAATGACTTCTTTTACTCTGGGTAGGTACTCAGTAGTGGGATTGCTAGATCAAATGGTAGTTCTACATTTAATTATTTCAGGAATCTCCCCACTATTTTCCATAATGTTTGTACTAGTTTACATTCCTACCAGTGGTGTAGAAGTATTCCTTTTTCACTGCATCTACACCAATGCCTATTACTTTTTGATTTTTTGATTATGGCCATTTTTGAGGTAGTAAGGTGGTATTGCATTGTGGTTTTTATATGCATTTCCATGATCATTTGTGATGTTAAGCATTTTTTCATGTGTTTATTGGTCATTTGTATATCTTTTTTTTGAGAACTGTCTATTTATGTCCTTACCCACTTTTTGATGGGGATTTTTTTTTTGCTACTTTGTTTGAGTTCCTAGTAGATTTTGGATAGTAGTCTTTTGTTGAATGTATAGATTGTGAAGATTTTCTCCCACCCTGTGGGTTGTCTGTTTACCTTTCTGAGTGTTCCTTTTGTAATGCAAAAGCTCTTCAATTTAAGTCCTAGCTATTTATCTTTGTTCTTATTGCATTTGCTTTTGGGCTCTTAGTCATGAAATCCTTGCTTAAGTTAATATCTGGAAGGATTTTTCCAATGTTATCTTCTAGAATTTTTATAATTTCAGGTTTTAGATTTAAGTCCTTGATCCATCTTGAGTTGATTTTTGTATAAGGTGGGAGATGAGGATCCAGTTTCATTATCCTACACATGGCTTGCCAATTACCCCCACACCATTTGTTGAATAGGGTGTCCTTTCCCTACTTCGTGTTTTTGTTTGCTTTGTTAAACACAAATAGAGAATCTCAGGTCACACCTCAAGGAACTAGAGAAACAAGAAAAACCAAACCCAAACCCAGCAGAAGAAAGAAAATAACCAAGATCAGAGCAGAAGTAAATGAAATTGAAACAAACAAACAAAAATACAACAGATAAATGAAACACAAAGCTGGTTCTTTGAAAAGATAAATAAAATTGATAGGCCATTAGCAAGATTAACCAAGAAAAGAATAGCGAAGCTCCAAATAAGCACAATTAGAAATGAAATGGGAGACAATACACCTGACATCACAGAAATACAGAAGATCATTTAAGGCTACTATGAACATTTTAAGTGCATAGACTACAAAACCTAGAGGACATGGCTCAATTCCCAAAAAGATACAACCTTCCTAGTTTAATTCAGGAAGCATTAGAAACACTGAACAGACCAATAACAAGCAGTGAGATTGAAACTGTAATAAAAAATTACCAACAAAAAGAGTCCAGGACCAGTTGGATTCACAGCTGAATTCTACCAGATATTCAAAGAAGAATTGGTATCAATCCTGTTGACACTATTCCAAAAGATAGAGTAAGAGGGAGCTGGGCACAGTGGTTCACACCTGTAATCTCAGTACTTTTGGAAGCCAAGGCAGGTGGATCACTTGAGGTCAGGAGTTTAAGACCAGCCTGGCCAACATGGGAAAATCCCATCTCTACCAAAAATATAAAAATTAGCTGGGTGTGGTGGTGGGTGCCTATAATCTTAGCTACTTGGGAGGCTAAGGCAGAAGAATTGCTTGAACCCGGAAGGCAGAGGTTGCAGTGAGCAGAGATGGTGCCACTGCACTTCAGCCTGGGTGACAGAATGAGAATGACTCTTAGAGAGAGAGAGAGAGAGAGAGAGAGAGAGAGAGAGAGAATCTTCCATAAATAATTATATGATGCCAGTATCACCCTAATACCAAAACCAGGAAAGGACATAACAATGACAACAAAAAACTACGGACCAATATCCCTCATAAACATAGATGTTAAAATCCTTAACAAAATACTAGCTAACCAAATCCAATAGTATATCAAAAAGATAATTCACCATGATCAAGTGGGTTTCATACCAGGAATGCAGTGATATGCAAGTCAATAAAAAATATGATACACCACATAAATAGAATCAGAAACAAAAATCACATAATCATCCCAATAGAGGCAAAAAACACATCTGACAAAATTAGCATCCCTTTATGATTAAAACCCTCAACAAAACTGGCACAGAAGGGACATACCTCAATGTAATAAAAGCCATCTATGACAAACCCTCAGTCAACATAACAGTGAATGCGGAAAAGTTGAAAGCATTCTCTCTGAGAACTGGAACAAGATAAGGATGTCCCCTCTCACCACTCCTCTTCAACATAGTACTAGAAGTCCTAGTCAGAGCAATCAGACAAGAAAAAGAAATAAAGGGCATCCAAATTGGTAAAGAGAAAGTCAAACTGTCACTGTTTGCTGATGATATGATTGTATACCTAGAAAACCCTAAAGACCCCTCCAAAAAGCTCCTAGAACTGATGAATGAATTCAGCAAAGTTTTAGGATACAAAACTAATGTACACAAATCAGTAGTTCTGCTATACACCAACAGTGACCAAGCTGAGAATCAAATCAAGAACTCGACCCCTTTTACCATAGAGCAAAAAATAAAATAAAATACTTAGAAATATACCTAACCAATGAGGTTAAAGACCTTTACAAGAAAAACTACAAAACACTACCGAAAGAAATTATAGATGACACAAACAAATGGAAACACATCCCATGCTCATGGATGGGTAGAATCAATATTGTGAAAACGACCATACTTCCCAAAGCAATCTACAAATTCAATGTTGAGAAATTTTTATAAAAATTATTTGGTTTTCCATCTTTTTGTTTTAATTTCAAAATTACTGTAATTTCAAACTGCATTAATGTCCTGTTAAATCTTATGTTTCCATTTTTTACCATTGAGGCATGTTATGCTTCATACAATAAAAATAATTGGATAAGCTATTAAAATATCATAATTTTAAATGAATTGGAAACGCTGATAACGGTAGATAATTCATAGCAAGTTCTCTCAGAATGTAAAAAATCCTATTTATTATCATTATTATTTAAGTTAACATGTACTATTTCCTTAAAACTGACCATAAAGCTTTATTTCTTAATTAAACTCTGATTTGGCGTAGATGTGAAACCCATTATGTTATGTAACATAAGTGTTATAACAGATGATAAGTTGCCAAGGAATTGACTTTGCCTGAGGAATTTGGTAGAAATTTCAAGGTTCTGACAGTGGTTTTGATAATATAGTAGAGAAAACATAAAAAGAGAATAGTATGAAGAGAATTTGGTTAAGGTGTACAAAATACAGTTCGATAGAAGGGATGAGTTCTAGCATTTCAGCAGAACAGTAGGGAAATTATAGTTAACAATAATTTATTGCACATTTCAAAAGAGCTAGGAGAGAAGACTTGTAATGTTCCCAACACAGATAAAAGATAAATGTTTGAGGTTATGAATAACCTAATTGTCCTGATTTGATCATCCAACTTTGTATACAGATATCAAAATACTACATCTACCCCAAAATATATACAACATATATATATATGTATAAATTTTTAAAAAGCAGAATTTTAAAAATGAAGATTAAAGGAGCTCTGGGGATGATCACATTTAATGGGAAGAACAAGGAGGAGCGGAGAAGGGGAAGAATGTGGATGTAGGAGGAGCATAGGAGAAAGCTGAAGACTGAATGTTCCTCACTGGCAAGTAGGAGACCTTCCCCTTGTAGAGTTGGTCTCTGAAAATTCCAAGTTAAGTGCTATGACTCTTCAGATCATCGAATCCCCTTTATCTCATATTAAAGCAAACTTATTTTCTAGAATGTTCTATTTCTACAAATTATATTTCAATATGAAGGTGAAATTACTGTGCATTAGAAATGAAAACTTACTAAATCTATGAAATAAAACATACACAACTACAAAGAAAATTGTCTTTCAGCAATAAGATTGAAATTTTTTTTGGTAAAGCAACAGAGATTTGGTAACTATATCAAATGCCTCTAACAATTTTGACAAGCAAATGAGATAACAAGAGGCTAAAAGAAAAGTTGTGAAAAAAACAAAACACAAAAAAAAGTTATGAAATTAAAGCTATGTTTATCTCCTCAAGAAATTCAATATTATTTTCTTTAATAAAGCTTAGTTTAACATTATTATTTTATAAATTGTCTTCATCACAAAATACTTTAGAGCATCTACGCTGCAGTAAGAAAAGGTTAGACTTTTCTTTTAAAAGTTCCTTTTTTTGTTGTTAAATCTGAGTGTTTTTCAAGATCACAAAAGCTTTCAGTGGCTGTTTTAGTGCAATAGTAGTATTAGCAGAAGAATAAAAACATATAATTCTAAGTGATTATGCAAACTATCCTCCATTTGAAACTTTACAACTTTAGCTTTAAATGTTTAATATTGCCATTTTTAAGCATTAACTATATTCTGAAATACATTGTTTTCTTTGGCATTATGAAACTTCTATAAATAAAAGTATTTTTTACTAACTGCCTATTGTCATTCTAATGGAATCTACCAAACAATGCTGCAATTGCAGAGGTACTGATTTTCTCAGAACAGTTAAGTGGATTTCAGAGAGTTGATCACAATTTTCTGAGAGACAATATCATAGTACCAAGATGTTTCTCTGGCTTCATAATATTGCTGTACCTCCCTTTTGATGTTAATTCAATGCCCTCAAAATCTGTTTGTTACAATTATCTTGGTTTTCTTGGCTACTTACAGTAACTAGGACCCTTTTTATTTTAGTTTTGCCATTCTGTTTCATATCACATTTTATGTTTAAAAAGCATTCATTAGAATCAAATGACTTCTAAAATCTAATGTTTCTTAGCTAATACTAAGGAAGTTTTCAGCATTCTTGGGTCAAAATGAGTATCCGCATTGCTTATATTACTTTAAATGCATTTACTTGGATCCTCCTGCAATTCAGGGAAGAGCTGGTTTAAATTTGCACTTTGAAATTTCTCTACAAAGGAATACACTTTCCAACGCAGTATTTTATCTAATAATGTAAATAACATTTCTGGCAAGATGTTATAAGGTTCAATGAAAGATGCCTGATCAAATAGAATTACATGTCAATTTTTGGACATTTTTCTCCCAAGGTGTGGAAAATCTGGTTTTCAGACAGGGTTAGTTTGCTGGTAAATTTAAAAACACAGCATGTAGACAACAGAAGGGAATGAATTAATTTGGAATCACCTAAACATGGTTCATCACTAATAATCGAGCCCTAGAGAATTCTGGTGACTTCTACTGATCTGGATGGTATGGGAGAAAAAATAACTAGGGTAGCAGAGACCATTTTTTACCTTAGTCCCTTGCCTCACGTAAGGGGAAAATAGTTCAAAATATTAGTGCCCAGGAAATTTACTAATAATTCCAAACTAGCTGGAATCATTACTTCAGTATTTTTATATAAGTATTCAGGACTGGGAATAGTAGTTGAGCCTCCGAGCAGAAGATTGTTTTCATTTAATAAAATATTTACGAGTGAAAACTATTGGAAGGTAGAGGTCAAGATTGATGCATTATGAATCTCACGTTTGACGAAAACACAATATGTGCATAGAAAAATAAATAACAACATTATCAAGTAGTAACATGATCTGAAGATGATAAATACAATAAAAAAGAAATACATTATATAAGCAATATAATGTTAATTAGTGATAGATATTACAAATATAATGGACATGGTAATATAATCGGGGACTACTTTTAAAATGGTAGAAAGAGAATATCTTTCAGAGCAAGTGACACCTGAGATGAGACTAAAATGAAGAAGAGACATAAAAGAAGTTTTTATTTGAAGGCCTAATTGGAGTGGGATAAACAGAAAATTTTAAAAATTAAGAAGTAGAGACAGCAAATGTAGACAATTTTTGAGAGATAAAGAAAATCCAATAAATAGAATTGTAGATGAGTGTCTGGGGGTCTTGTATTGCAGTATTAAACCCACGACCAATACCAACGTATACAAAAGATAATAGAAAACTGAAAACAAATGAGGAAAATGAATGTGAGATCAATAATTGAAGTGACGAAGCTGGGATCGAGAGAGAAGTCACGTGATCTTAGAGATGTGGTAGCAGAGGAACTAGAGACAATGTCAGCAAATCACCCAGTCAACTGGGCTACCCAAAGGAGGAGTAGTATAGACAGGTAATAATTATTATAATCCAAAGAGAATATTCCTTGACCTTATACACTATTATGCTGACATGGAGGACTCACATCAGCTTATGAAAAACTGAAGATAGCTGTGCTATGGCTGAAGTTTGCAGGAGTCTGGCTCCGGGACAAGTGGTACTGAGTGTCGCCTCCTCCACAGTGTGCTTCCTCAGAGCCTCATTACCCCAAGCTTGCTCTGTGTGGATTTCAGTGTCTGAGATTTAGGATACCTGCAAGTAAAAGTACAGTCTTCACCTTTTCTACTCCAAGAGTCTTTCCATTCCTTCAGTGAGGTTTTATTTTTATTTTCTAAAATGGAAGTGGAAGAAGGAGGGCATAAGAGAATATTATGAGATATGGCTTCTTTCTGGATAGACGGCAAAGGCTAAAATAAATGACTCCTGTTAATAGGTGTGAGTGGACAGAAAGAAAAAAGTCGTTAAGGAAATGTACAATGCCTAAGACAATTCGTTTAAGTTGTTGTTGGCTATATTAAGGGTCTAAATACAAACTATCAATAGAATGCCTTGTTTTATTTTCTGTAAGGCAGAAATATTGTCTGAAAGGATGAATAAATTATCCCACCTAAATGTGTGCCACAGGTTTGCTTCTTTATAACCCTGTAAGTGTAGGGATCTGAAAAATTTAAAACTGGCAATAAGAACTAAGTTTAGAGGTGAGATCTGGTACATAGCTTTTAAAAATCCAAGTTTCATCAAGAAGACAAAAAGAACTCTCGAGCTTTGTACAAAAGCTTGAGGAAGTAATAAAGTTAATTTAAGTCCAGCTGTTGAGAACCTATTATCTCTAGTCCAAATTTTATCACTAAGTAGTCAAAAGATAAAGTCAAAAACAGAATGCAATTGTATATTGAAAAATATAATTGATATAATTTTTTAAAAATATTACATTTAACAATTTATAATATTACTCACGTAAACCCTGAATATAATGAGGAGAGACATGCACAAATGTTGGAGGTAAACAGTAAATTATTTGCTCTTCTCACTCACTAATTTGATTCCTTAAAATTAAAATATAAATTGAGCCTCTAATTTCTGTTTAGACCTGTGTTCCCTGTTATGGGAAATATGAATATAAAAGAGAAGCATGTGAGTCCTGGATAGCAAGATAGATAATTTGAGAAATTGCTTTTAATTTCTGATGATGAAGCTAGCATTTGGCGTGCTGAAATAGCAACATGCAACATCCTTGTGACCATGCAAATTTAATCTGGATTCCAAAACCTCTTCAGTTCCTTACTGGGAGTGTTGATATTCCAGGAGAAGTGGTAAATCATGTTGCTGTCACTGTTCATTAGGTGTTGATCATATTTAGATTTAACGCTACAATATCAGTCATCTGTTGTTTATTCAGGCAAGGAATGCGACACAATAGTTTAAAATGCAGTCCTAGACTTACTGAGTTCAGATCCCAGCTTGTCCATTGCCTTCTGTGCGTCTTAGGGAAAGTCACTTAGCCTCTCTCTGTCCCAGTTTCCTCAAAGCTCAAATGCATATTACATTGACATATATAAAGGCAATCTGGGAGTAGAAAAGGAGGATGTTAAAGTACTCTTTTCATTTTAACTAGTAAAAGTACTCATTTTTAAAATGTATCGTCTACCCCTTAGCTAGTGATCCCCTACTTAAGTACTGTAGAAGTATTTTTATTGGAATTAACTTTTAAAGACATGGTTGAAATAGAATTTTTAAAACATAATGCTTGAAGGGTCCAAATTATGTGGTGTGAACTTTCCATACCAGAAAGGCATTTTGTTTTCTGCTCCAACAAAATGAGTCTCTAAACAGCTACTAATGTTGAGAGAGATTGAAACAATACAGTAAAGCCTACTTACCACGGCAATTTAAACTTCTCCCTATCTATGATACTTAATGCTCAAAGGGACATTTCAGCATAATGATAGTCAAAATTTGCTGTATAAGAAAAACGGCCATTTGGAGTGGATTTTTTTTTTCTACTTGGTTTATGGAAAATGCTGTAGTCAGGTTTTGCAGCACGGAAAAGAAGCAACCTAGCAACTGAATTTCAAGAATGATGAAAGATATCTGAGTCAAATGTGCTGCCTCTTGAGACAGGAAATAGATGATTCTAGCCAAGCCTGACAGAAAAGAGAAAACTGAATAGGCACTAAAAGGGAAACATTCCCAGATGAAAACAACTTTTATTTAAAATGTGGACATTTAAAAAATAATTTTTTTCAGTCATTCTTAGTTTTCTTTACATACCTCATACATCCTAAAATTAGACAGTTTTATGTGGGAAATAGTTATCCAGTATTTCATTGGATGAAAATGCAATGACTTTTTTTTTTTGACATTTATTTAGGCACAGGTTTACATTTGGGCTTTTAACTTTGAAATCATTTCATTCTCAGAGCTTTTCTGCTAATAAGAATAGAAATACTTAGCCATTAATGCAATTTTGAAGGAGCCCAAGGTAGTCTTTTTCCTGCTCAGAGGTTATCAACATGGAGAGATAAAACAACAAAGACAGTCCACGGGCACCATTTACACTAAAATTGCAAGCATGAGACACTCATTGGTGAGTCCTGCTGCATGTTCACAGCAGGGGAAGAAGGAAAAATCTTTAAGGAAAAACAAATTGGCCAGAAACGCAGCAGGAGAGCTTAACTGGGCAAGCAGAAAGCCCACACTACTTCAAACAGTAAGGATTAACAAGAAAACATATTTGAAAAACAATGGTAAGAAAACATATCCAGAAAGAGGAGGGGATATTGTCTTGTATTCTAACACCAAGCAGAACAAGGTAATGAGAAAAAAGATAATAGAGGATGGCTTCCATAACACTGATAATAAAGAGAAAGACACCAATGGTTATGAAAAATCTTGCAAACAATTTTCAAAATACCTTATTGGAACGTCATTTTTTTTTCCACTCTGACAAACTTCTTTACATTTTACCAGATTCATGTAAATTATTTATAGTGTAGTCAAATTTATTTTGATGTAAAATTTTCAAATGGATAATAAATCTATGGGAAATTCGTTCTGCTTTGGGTTATCTCACTTATGGAGATGAAAGGACAAATTCACAATGAATATGTTTTAATTTAAAATGAACTGCTTTAAACAAATGAAACAGAAGATCTTGCAGAGACCAACAAAGTCTAACTAAAATAAGTGTTTAATCAGAATATTATTATATGCTGACTATTTAGATAAAGAGAAAGCAGTTGGACTAATAATTTTATTTTTATTCTCTTGAATTATTTACATTTTAAAAGAGAAAAAAGATAAGCCCGAATATTGATATAACAAGGTAGAGGCAGACAGGAAATGGGAAGGAGTACAGCATTCAATGGCACAAACAAGGAAGTAAAAAGTGGCCGAATGGCCATCATAAGATGGGGCCAGTGTGGGTAGATCTCTCCATCCCTGCTGGGTCGATTCCCTACTGAGGCCAGACCCTGATTCTCTGCTCTCCACTGGCGGATCTCAGTAGAGACCATACAAGAGACAATGGACCCAAGAAAGGTGAAAGCTTTACTCATCATTACTTACAACTGAGGTACACCTATATCATGAGTACAATTTGCCTTTCCACCAAAGATGAAAAAGGAAAAGAGAAAATGACTGATGCTACCTTCTTCTTTTGTTTTACATGATAGTGAGAGGTGACAGCATGCTGGCAGCCCTCACAGCCCTCGCTCGCTCTCGGCACCTCCTCGGCCTTGGCGCCCACTCTGGCCGTACTTGAGGAGCCCTTCAGCCCGCCGCTGCACTGTGGGAGCCCCTTTCTGGGCTGGCCAAGGCCGGAGCTGGCTCCCTCAGCTTGCGGGGAGGTGTGGAGGGAGAGGCACAGGCAGGAACCGGGGCTGCACACGGTGCTTGCGGGCCAGTGCGAGTTCCAGGTGGGCGGCTGTGGGCTCGGCAGGCCCCACACTCAGAGCGGCCGGCTGGCCCCGCCAGCTGGCCCCACCGGCCCCGGGCAGTGAAGGGCTTAGCACCCGGGCCAGCAGCTGCGGAGGGTGCACCAGGTCCCCCAGCAGTGCCGGCTCCCCGGGGCTGTGCTCAATTTCTCCCTGGGTCTTAGCTGCCTCCCAGTGGGGCAGGGCTCGGGACCTGCAGCCCGCCATGCCTGAGCCTCCCTCTTCCCCATGGGCTCTGGTGGCGTCGGAGCCCCCCCAGGGAGTCGCCCCCTGCTCCACAGCGCCGGGTCCCATGGATCGCCCAAGGGCTGAGGAGTGCAGGCGCACGGCTTGGGACTTGCAGGCAACTCCATCTGCCACACCAGTGCGGGATCCACTGGGTGAAGCCAGCTGAGCTCCTGAGTCTAGTGGGGACTTGGAGAATCTTTATGTCTAGCTAAGGGATTGTGAATGCACCAATCGGCACTCTGTATCTAGCTCAAGGTTTGTAAATACACCAGTGGACACTCTTTATCTAGCTAATCTAGTGGGGACATGGAGAACTTTTGTGTCTGGCTCAGGGATTGTAAACGCACCAATCAGCACCCTGTCAAAATGGACCAATCAGCACCTTGTCAAAACAAACCAATCGGCTCTCTGTAACATGGACCAATCAGCAGGATGTGGGTGGGGCTAGATAAGAGAATAAAAGCAGGCTGCCTAAGCCAGCAGTGGCAACCAGCTGGGGTCCCCTTCCACAGTGTGGAGGGTTTGTTCTTTCGCTCTTTGCAATAAGTCTTGATACTGCTCACTCTTTGGGTGCACACTGTCTTTATGAGCTGTAACACTCACCGTGAAGGTCTGCAGCTTCACTCCTGAAACCAGGGAGACCACGAACCCACTGGGAGGAATGAACACCTCCAGACGCACCACCTTAAGAGCTGTAACACTCACTGCGAAGGTCTGCAGCTTCACTCCTGAGCCAGAGAGACCACGAATCCACCAGAAGGAAGAAACTCCGAACACATCCAAACATCAGAAGGAAAAAACTCTGGACATGCCGCTTTTAAGAACTATAACGCTCACCGCGAGGGTCCGCGGCTCCATTATTGAAGTCAGTGAGACCAAGAACCCACCAATTCTGGACACAATATGATCAACCTCCTTTCAGTGTTGGTATTAAGAAACTAAAGAACCTTTGCAGGCACATGGATGAAGCTGGAAACCATCATCCTCAGCAAACTATCACAGGAACAGAAAACCAAACACCGCATATTCTCACTCAAAAGTGGGATTCAACAATGAAAGCACATGGATCCAGGGAGGGGAACATCACACACTGGGGCCTGTCCGGGGGTGGGGAGAAAGAGGAGGGAGAGCATCAGGACAATACCTAATGCATGTAGGGCTTGAAACCTAGATCATGGGTTGATAGGTGCAGCAAACCACCATGGCACATGTATACGTATGTAACAAACCTGCACATTCAGCACATGTATCCCAGAACTTAAATTTAAAGAAAGAAAGAATTGATCGTTTTGAAAAAAAAAAAATACATTATCAGAAAAAAAAAAAAAAAACTAAAGAAGATGCTTAGTTGTTCTTGACTGAGACTTTTGGAGGATTTATATGTCATACTCTTTTCTGTTGCTTTATGATTTTTTTTGTGTTAGCTCACCATAGGATTATAAACTCCTTTGCTTGCAATTCTTTCAGAGTCTTCCTACCAGCAAACACAGAGCTAGGCACTCTGTAAATGACAAAAGATATGAAAAATCACTTTTGTTGATTGCCTGCTTCTTCCTGTCAGGCATTTTCCTAGAGGTTTTATTGTTGAATTCAGTTAAAGTTAAATTGATTTTCATTATAACTCAGAAAAGGGAGCAAGCACTTTGAGAATCACCGTAGTGCCATTTACTCCATCATTACATCCATGGGCTTCATTAAATAATTCAATATATATTTGTTGACTGTATGGATGGATGAATATGTGCAGAAAGAGTATAATTCAAGCAATTGGAAACATATTCAGGGGCATGGTGGGAGGAAGTGAAATTGTATTTGAGTCAAAATATTCCACAGTTATAGACATTTTTTTATTTGGAAATTGGAAAAGCTGTACCTGTTTCTTATCATGTATTGTGCCAGATGACATAACAAGACTGGTAAAGGAAGCTTTCGAGTCAATATTATTTGAAAACATCTTTCATTCTAACTTTAAATATAACCCCCATGTCTGAATCAATACTACTGTAAATTAGGAGGCTTCTGAATCACATTAAATATAATATATAAAATTGAGCTATTTAGTCATTATGGTTTCACTGATTCTGTTGACAGTGCACAGTATTTTAATTCATTGCAGCTGAAAATCAAATAATTTTACTGATGCTTAGATCTTATATTCTTCTTCAGAGTTAAATAGCTCCATTATTTTTTATTTCTCATACTTTTCACATAGATCTCTTTGTGTGGGTCCTTACTGTTTCAGGATTTCTGTTATACCAAAATAATTTTACAGTTTTACAGCTTCTGCTTTATTTCTTGTTTCTTTCCTTAGCTTCAAGAAATATATTTTCAAAACACAAATATCATGTTTATTTATGTATTAAACAAAAATTAACTTAGCATTTTCACTCAGGAAGCACTCTTCTAGAAGCTATGGATAGAATAGTGACATGAGCAAACAAAAATCCCTGTCATCATGGGGTCTACATTCTCTTGATGGACACAGACAGTGAAGAAAACATAAATGTAACATATGGTAAGTGAGATGTTAAGAGGAGCTCAAGAATGCCAAGGAAGGAGGAAAATAAAAATAAGTGTTATAATTTAGATAGGGCAGCCTGTCGAGGCCTCTTTGAAAACTGAAGTTTTGAGTAAAGTCCAGGAGGTCGTGAAGGAGGGAGCTTTGCAGCCATTGAGGTAAGAACATTTCAGGTGGGTGGGGGCTGAAATACTTGTTCAGGGTGGAGTGGGGAGGCAGATGCAGCCGGACCAGAGAGGTCAAATGCCAAAGTGAGGCCAAAGAAGTGAGGAGGACCAGAATCTCATGGGGCACTGGAATCTTTTTTTTTTTTTTCAGCCAGCCCTACCATGACAACTTCATACAAAATAACATAGCAACCCTCCATTCCTCATTACCTTCATCTCCCTGATTTGTTTCTTTTTGGAAGTATTTATCTCTGCCTAGCATCAAATGAAATATTTATCTGTTGATTTTCTGTCACGTCCATTAGAATATAAGCCATATGAAGACCGGGACTTTGGGGTTGTTTACACATGTAACTCCTTCAAGCAGAGCAGGTAGGTGCTCAATAATACTTACTGAATAAACAAATGACTTTGTAGCTACCATTTGTCCCATCATGTGGTTATGCATTCAGCAGGTATTCAGTAAGTTCTGATTGAATAAAATTTGTCATTTCTCCTGAATCTTTGAGGTAAGTCTTCCTCAACAAGAATATAAGGTGTGATAGTCAGAGGATGGAGTTAATGAAATCTTAAATTTCAATACTCTTCTTGCTATTTATGTCACACTAAGTATATTTGTTCTTTCTGAGTGGTTTATTTATGCAAGGGTAGATTCACCTACCTTAGAAACTTATGTAAATATTAAATGTGGAAATGTATAACAGCTTATCTAAGATATAAATATTTTTTCATAGAGCTTTTCCTTCTTCATCATGTCAGTGAATATATTTTCTAAGAAAAATTATGTAATATTTAGAATTTCTGAAGGAAATTGATAGCTTTGTTATTACTGACTTTCAAGAATTTAAATCAGAGAACAAAGTACTGAAAAATGCATACCTCCAGATTTTGGAAATGTAACAAATATTCAATATTCAATGTGATATGAATAACCTAAGAGACTATTTCATATAACTCACTTTCAACCCCTATCTGCCTCTTATTTCCATAAGCTTTTAAAGAGTTTTATTTTATTCCAGTATTGTGCAATTGAAAACAACTTTCAATCAGTTAATATATCTGAAATGACTAGAAGCGATAAGAAAGAATTTAAAATGGTTATGTATGTAAAATACAATAATTTTACAGATATTAAATAAATAAAATGACTTTCATACTTTTCTCACTCATCGAGATTAGTCATTACCTTGACAGGTGTATTAGTCAGTTTTCGCACTGCTATAAAGAACACCTGAGACTGGGTTTATAAAGGAAAGAGGTTTGACTCTCAGTTCCACATGGCTGAGGAGGCCTCAGGAAACTTACAATCTTGGTGGAAGGTGAAGGAGAAGCAAGTACCTTGTCTGCAAGGTGGCGGGAAAGGGAGATAGCAGGGGAAACCGCCACTTACAGAAAGAGCAGATCTCATGATTACAGCATGGGGCAAACCGCATCCATGATCCAGTCACCTTCCACCAGGTCACTCCCTCGGCACAAGAGGAGTACAGTTTGAGAAGAGATTTGGGTGGGGACACAGAGCCAAACCATATCAACAATTGCAAATGTATTTGCATTAATGTTGCTGTAATCAAACCAAGTAGTCACTGTTTTTAGCAACACCTGTCCACGGAGGCAGGCAATTAGCTGAGTATACAGATCTGGCTGTGGTATGCCCAACTATCTGATTATTCCTATTAATATTCTGTGTGGTGACCAAAGCACATGCTCCAAAACTTTTTCCAAAGCTTGATTTTAGATACTCTCAATGTATAAATTTTTTTTTCTGACTGCATTTTACAAAATTAATTATTTGTAAAAATGCATTTTCTCCAGAGGCTTCGAGCTCTATATTCCAAGCTATAATATTTAATTCTGTCTTCTGCCTAATGATCTGAAAAGGCCTTGACCATATTATAAATTAGTGACGTTTGTATATTACATTTAACTGGTTTAAAATTACCTAACTTAAAATCGAGAAACAGCACGAATATTGAAGGAGTTTGACCACATGCATATAAAACAAGACAGTTTAAAATTATGTCAACTGCTGGTTCTGAGACTAACTAAAGTACCAACAGCCAATGCAGTCCATGATACTTGCTTGTTTATTTATTTATATTATTTACTTAATGTACACATTACTATAGAAAAGGTAGGTTGGAATGAATAGGAAAAGAAATAATAACAATTATCTGATTGTTTAAAATACTTAAAAATTTGAAAGAGTGAAAATCCACATATTAAAATTCACCTGAAACATTACATGAATTTAAGGATGAATTTAAAAGCACTTATTCATTAAATTGTTTTCATGATACAGCATTAAGATGAAATTGCATTAATACATGTTCTGCTAATATCTACAGCATTTTGCATTTCAACAGTATTTTACTGCTCTCTACCAGATAGTTAATGCCAAGCTTATCTTTTTTTATATTTCCAAAAAGGCTAACCATTCCTTTATAATCTGAAAATAAAGTGAAATGAAGTAATTTATTCATATCGCCAATAATTTTCTGTAACAAAATGAAAAGGAATCCTTTTTAGTACTACACATCTTAACACTGACTAATCCTTCATTCAAAGGAAGAAAGAGAATTAACAACAATAATAATAATATTAGTAGCAAACAATCAAATGAGATTACCATGTGCCAGGCACTAATGCCCACAGGTGTTAACTCATTTAATCCTCACCGAACCCAGAGAGGGAAGTTTATTATTATTATCCCTTTTTTATAAAGTAAGGAAAATAAGACCTTGAGAAGTTAAGGAATTTTTGCAAGAACTAGCAGGGGCAGGAGACATAGGAGGAGGCTTTTGATTCCTGAACTCACTTTCAAAGCCATACCCTACTCAGTCCATGAGCAAAGTACCACGCCTCCCCTTTATACAGATCATTTCCTTCATACATCTGTACCACTCAATTAAAGTATCACCAACTCTCTTTTAGTAATGAACAAGCTCCAAAAATGTAACATACTCAACAAGCTCCAAAAATTTAACACACTCAAAGTCCCACAAATGAATAGAAACCAGATTTTTAAATCCAGGTCTGTTTTTTTTGATATGGGAGTTACTGTTGATGTTTCTGTTTTCTTAACCATGTCAGGCTGTTTCTGCAATGAATATTTACTAAATACCTATACATGCAAAGCATTTTAAATATCACAACATATAATACACTGTCTCTAATGTTCATTTGTTACAGATTTAGTATCTATAAAGAAATATGCAAATGAATGTAATTTGTGCTTCTCCATATGTGAGATTTGTACTACTGGTGGTAGGTAGTTATTATATGTGGCAAGTGTAACCACTTCAGATAGCAAATAAGCATAACATGAAACAACTTCGATTCCCTTTTAAATTTGCCTCCAAGCTTTCTTAGCAAGTCTTTTTTTTTTTTTTTTTTTTTTTTTTGAGACGGAGTCTCGCTCTGTCGCCCAGGCTGGAGTGCAGTGGCGCTGTCTCGGCTCACTGCAAGCTCCGCCTCCCGGGTTCAAGCCGTTCTCCGGCCTCAGCCTCCGGAGTAGCTGGGACTACAGGAGCCCTCCATCGCGCCCGGCTAAATTTTTTTTGTATTTTTAGTAGAGACGGGGTTTCACCGTGGTCTGGATCTCCTGACCTCGTGATCCGCCCGCCTCGGCCTCCCAAAGTGCTGGGATTACAGGCATGAGCCACTGCGCCCGGCCGCAAGTCTTTTTTTATTCTATTAAACACATTACCAATTTCTCCTACCTTTCTCCTCAACGAAAGAGCTATTAGAGAATTTTTCATCCAAACAGTATCTTTCTACTTGGATTATAATAACTTTGTCTTATTTTTATTGTATTTATCTTTTCTGTTCTCTTATGGCAGGAGAGACTGGTTCCCAATTTCCAGCATCAGTGTAAAAAATTCTTTTAAATGCATTTACTTAAATAAGGGTAGTAAGTTGATTTAATGAAAAATATTCAACGAATAGTATAAGTAGTATGTGAATATGGGGAATCTTAGGAAGCTTATAGGAATTGGTTAGTGTTTGAGAAACACCATAAATAAGAAATGGAAGAGTTTTCTGATTAGACCATGAAAAAATAAAATGGCCTAACTCTGAGAAGGTGAGTTCCTTTAAGCCATAGAAGGGAGCTAGGAACTAGATGTCCTTAAGGAAATTTGCACAGAGGATACATGCATACACTACAGGGAGGGCTAGGGAGGTGCTTAGTCATTGAAACTCCTGGGAGCTATGGGTCCCATAGCAGCAATCCAAACACTGTTGATAATCTCCACATGAGTAATAGATGCTCTAGGAATGTGATCAAGGGACTGATCACTCTCTAGCTTCACAGAAGCATTTGATGCAGGTTTCATATAACCTTTAGGATTGTAATGAATAAAGAATAAGCCAAGATGCGGATGTTGGGGCTCAGAAAACGATACTCCAAAACGAAGGCCTCTGCAGCAGCCTCAGAAGCAAAGATTCTTGCTGACTTTGTCCTACCCTCAATCTGCCACCCTTATTCTCCCCTTAGGCAAGCCAAAGAAACAAGAATTCCTTTTCCTCAAAGTGGTTCATAGAAACCAGAATCACTTTCCCTAAAGCCAGCCATAAAGCATAAAGGTATTACTCTAACTTTCCCCCAGCTTTCTGTGTAAGCTGGCCATAAATAAATAAAGACCCTCATTCCAGAGGGATCCTGCCATGTACCAGGGAAGAAGAAATGCTCTAACAAGAGGCAAAGAAGAATCTGAGCAGACAGGACTTGCTAGGTTTCCCCACTCTGTTGCCATCAGCTCAAACCCTTTCTCTCCAATCACATTTCTACATGGTTGTTCCTCCTTTATTGAACCTAAGAATAAAATCAGAATACTTACACTGTATCTTTGGGGCTTCAATCTGAACACTCCATGGTCATGTAAAACTGTGGTCAAATTAATTAGTTATGTTTTTCTTTGGTTAATTTGTTTTTACTAATAGAAATTTCAGCCATTATCCTTATCATGGGAAGGAAAGAATTTACCCACTACAGTAATATTTCAGGCAAAGAAAAAGCAAGAAAACAGGAATGCAAAACTCATACAGTGAATTTGGAGAAAACTGAGCAACACTGAAAAAATATGAAATTAAAAATAACTTCTTGAAAGTGAATACATCAAGAACGCACAAAAATAAAATTATTTTATAAAAATAACGGTTTTCATTAAAAGAGGATGGTTTGTGATTATATTTACAGAAAATAATTTTGTTTTCTCAGAATATAGTTATATCCTTATTAGCCACCAAATTACTTTTCTAACTTTGAATTAGAGCAAACTGATTTTTTGCTTCAAAATGAAAATAAATTTGTGTTCATTAGTGAAGACTGGAGAATAAATAATTTTGGGAAAAGTAAAATCAGTAGTTACCTTTTAAGATGTCAATATTTGTTAAAGCTGAATTATTCCAGATGCTTATATAGGGGTAAAGAAGTAAACCACTGGAATATAATAGAGATTCCAAAAAGAGATGTACAGGTATGGCTACTTTGAGTTGAATGGAAATAGCAAGTGATGGGAAAATACAAGGTGAAACCAGAATCCTTAAAAACTGGTTGTGTCCATATGAATTAGTACCATCACTTTGAAGAGAAATTAAGAAAATAGCTGTTAAAGTGAAAATATGTATACCTTATTTTCCATAATTTGTGTATACATGTTACAGAAACCCCAACATTTATAAAGAAGAAAAGATGTTCAAATATGTTTCTGTAATAGTAAAATATTGGGGACAAAACATGAATTTTCATTAACAGAAAATGTGGTTTATTTAAAGAGTGGAACAACACAGAGCAGTTAAAATGAATTGAGGGCCAGGCACAGTGGTGTACGCCTGTAATCCTGGCACTTTGGGAGGCTGAGGTAGGTGGACCACCTGAGGTCAGGAGTTCGAGATCAGCCTGACCAACATGGTGAAACCCCATCTCTACTAAATGCAAAAAACTGGCCTGGCATGGCGGAACATGCCTGTAATCCCAGCTACTTTGGAGGCTGAGGCAGGAGAATCGCTTGAACCCAGGAGGCGGAGGTTGTAGTGAGCCAAGAATGTGCCATTGCACTCCAGCCTGGGCAACAGAGTGAGACCCTGTCTCAAAATAACAAAAAAAAAAAAAAAAAAAAAAGAAAGAAAGAGAGAGAGAGAAAGAATTGAATTACATTTTTATATATTGACATTCATAGATCACAAAATATGTTAAATGAGAAAACAAGCAATACTGTACCAACATCCTCACATGAATCTATACGCATGTAAGTCATGCTCACAAGCATAATCAATGCAAATACTAATGTATTTCCGGACAGTAATTGATCTCTGTTAACTTGTATGTGAGATTTGTGCTTTAGGTACCTGCCTTATAAAATGAGAGCCATGCAAATCTCCCAAGGTTTTGTGGTGTGCTGTCTATGTCGGCATATTGAAAACATACAGACAATGTAAAGTGAAAACAGGGTGAGAGAAAAAATGATGAGAAGTCAATGTCATTTATCATTGCTTCACAATGAAAGTCTATCCTGAAGTGAGCCCTCTAAAGGAGGGAAAAAAAACTGAGTTTTAGAATCAGTCCAGGAAGAAATGGGGGGACCCAGGTTCTGAATAACAAGAGGAGCCATATAGTATAATGAAGTAATATGTAGTAGTGGTAAGAGTCATGGAGAAGTTAGCTAAGTTAATGTGAAATGAAACATTTTCTATTTAGTTACACAAAAGAATGGAAAATTGAATATGAATGGAATTATTTTTAGAATTGATTTTATATCCCTGATGCACAATTTTAGCAGTCAGTCTCTTGAAAACAGGGACCTGGAGACATTTGCTCAAAGCCATAGGCATTCTTTCATGCACTTGCTCTTTAGAATCTTTTTAATCTAACTGATTAGAGAGAGCAACAGGACACAAATTAGTGCAATTTCCTTGGACAGCATTCAACATCAGTGGAAGAAGCATTGTGTTGGAAACATGAGCAGATGCACACATCAAGGGTATAATAGCTGCTCAACAGGTAATTCATCTATCCCTACTTTTGGGTTTATAAGAGAGAATTGCAGTCCTCTCCTTGTAAGAAGGAGCTATGAAGGATGGAAAGTGATGAATCATTCATGCTCAATTTGATTACCCGTGAGGACATTCATTCAAAGAGTCTTCACCCAAAAGGCCCTTCATGAAAATAAGTTATGAGGATTTACATAATTTAGATTTGCCATATGAAAATATCTAAACTGTACATTTCTTGACTAAGATCTTTCAATTGCCAAAAGGTATATTTGAATGAGGACTGGATTACTAACATATCACTAAACACCTATAAACCATATTAAGTGCATTTGCATTTGAGAAATACCAATTAACTGGACAAATAAGCCCATTGTGTTATGTGGACTTAGTATCCATTCAGTAACAATAGATTACAATAGATTAGTTCACTGAAAACAACTTACTGCTGTTTTTCTGCTCGAATACAAGTATGTCATAAATATTTCAATTTTTATCTGATCTGACAGATCTTCAACATTATCAAATGAAGCCAACATTTAATAATTTTACATGAAATAAGAAAGAAAAGAAATATATCTTTTTTTTTTTTTTTTTTTTTTGAGACAGAGTCTCACTCCGTCAGCCAGGCTGGAGTATAGTGGCGCAATCTCGGTTCACTGCAACCTCTGCCTCCCAGATTCAAGCAATTCTCCTGTCTCAGCCTCCGAGTAGCTGGGACTATAGGTGCATCTCAACATGCCTGGCTAACTTTTGTAGTTTTAGTAGAGACAGTGTTTCACCATATTGGCCAGGCTGGTCTCCAAGTCCTGACCTCAGGTGATCTGCCCGCCTCAGCCTCCCAAAGTGCTGGGATTACAGCCGTGAGCCACGGCGCCTGGCCCCATTTTCAATAATAAAGTGGAGAGAAATTCAACAATTGTCCTTCCAATCTGCTCATAATAAAGTAACATTCATCATTTTATCTGAATTTCGTGCATCCATTGAGATTCTGTGTGTATTGTAATCAATCAGGCCATGTCTTAATGATTGATCATATTTTTATACTTATTTATTTTCAAGGCTGGACCATGTAAATACTCAATAAACACTTATTTAATAAATGAGGAAATGAACAAAAGAGTATAATCATTGTTGATGTTTTGTTTCTATTTTCAGCAGAATGAGCTTGATATGCACTGCAATTAAGTGAACTGTACACTACATCAAAGGGCCAGGAAAAATGACGGACTTTCACAATCCTTGTGCACCATTCCTTACTCATCATACTCCACCTTGAACATTGAGGCCTATTTTATCAAAGTTGGGTGAAGGCAGAGGGGAGAGCAATATGCATGTTGGGAATACACATGAAGATTTTGGTGATAAAAAGAGAAATGGCAAAGCACTGATGAAAATAAAATTCATCTATAGCCATCAGTTGACTCAACCAGGTGTGACATTTCACCAGCCACCACCATACATGCACCTTTTCCCTAATCCACATCTAGGCCTCCTCAGCCTTCCCTAGAAAAGAAGTCAGAGTATTCTGGTGCCCACCAGTTATCAGCAGACCAGCCTGGCCCAGAGCATGGGCTCCTCTCTTCCTCACCCCTTTGCAAGTTGTCCTACATGCTCCCTGGGTTTGGTTCATGGCTGCAATGTAGGCTCACATTTTCTGTGACCACATGACTAAATAACATATCAGAGTTATTTTTCTAGAATTTCAACAGAGATTATATATTATTGTCCCACTCAAAAGAAGTTTGGGAGGCTTGGAAAAAAGTGAATATAATTTAATTAGAGTTAAGATTAATATGTATGAGTGCTAAAACTGTTGATTAATTCTAGGGCACATTCTGAGGTCAATTTCAGAAAATTCGGTGATGAATAATAAGGGATATTACTTGTAATTTCAACAAATTTCTTCAAAATGATTCATGGTAACAGTAAATAAAATTTGGATTCATTAGTCCATAAAGAAAAATCCTGGCATATAAGGGTCTAGTATAGTCATTAAGACATTGTCTCTCTGTTTACAAATTAGATATGTAAAACTTAATAGCATCCAATTTGTAAATTTACCACATTTAATTAATTTTAATTGTTGAAAATCTATGTTTTTGTATGGATCACTCTTTTCCTACTCTTCTGTCGTTTACTTTAGGATCTAGGAAGGATAAATTCTCTACATTTTGAAGTTATTTAGGTTTAACATGCAGAATTTAATGATCTTTGCCTTTATCCATTCCTCCAGTAATATCATTATTTGCACAAAGTAAGCTCAAAGTAAATGTTTAAATAATTAATTTTGGGTTTCTTTCCCAGCAACAGAAAGAGAAAATAAAGTATTGAGATCTTAGGCCCATTTCTCATTTTTTATTTATACTCTATTAGCTAAAATGTCAACAGCCAATGTTACTAAAGTCATCTCAAGTGTTGAATGCTTTACTAAATCAGTTACTCTATCAAGATACAAAGGAACAAGTGTGTTTAAATATGTTTAAGTATTTATAAAATACAAACTGAAATAGCACATGAATGTAAATTATAAAACAGAAACCTTAATCAGAAATGCATGTTCTCATTCTTTCTAATTCCATATCGAAACAATGACTCACACCCTTAATACACTCTCTATCAAGCATTGTATCTTGTACATTTTTTCTGAATCAAGTGAAGCAGTATTGATCTTTTTATTTGCATCGATAACTGAATGACTTCCCTGATTCTTTACACTATTAAAGTTAATTAAACTGTTGGGGAAATTTTATACAAATATGGCAGGATGAGAATATACAGGTTCAGGGAACACTAGCTTTCTAGCAATTACTTTTTTACTACATTCACATCCTATATCTTCAGTTTTGTTAAATTTCCCTACTATTCTCTGCTTTGGGCAGTTAGATTAATTAGGATTCTGGACAAAGAAAATTAGTTGAGGCTTAGGGAGTGGCTAGGGAGTGGCATATGATACCATAACAAGTACATGAGTTTTACGTTCATAGGCATCATAATTTTCTCTTGATTCCCTTTTGTGTATCTAGGTTAGGTGCAGTTCTACATTTAGATAAAGAGACTGAAAAATCCTTATAAGTTCCCCTGAGTCTAAGCAGATGTTTTATGTGCCAGAGAGTGTGAAGGTTTAAGATTAGTATATTTGTTCTATTGAGTATTATGATTGTCTGCTGAAATGATTTAAGGAGCAGTTAACCACGAGTGGCTCTGAAGCACTGAAGGCCTGTTTGGCTGAAGGTTCATTCATGCATAGCCCATTTTACTGCTACCCAACACAAAGACAGTATGAAGGAAAGGTCCCGGAGAAAGACAGACCTAATAACATAATCACAAACACAGAATTGCTCAGTTAGGTTATGAAAGAAAAGGCAAATGCAGCCTAAGAGTAAAATGGGTCAACAGTAGAACAGGAATACACAGAGCTATTACTTTTGAAACTAGGAATCTTAGCTATCACGATAATTTTGATTATCAGTGCTAAAATAAATTGTAGAATTGTGTACTAATTTCTACTCTGATTTTTCAGTTATCTGGGTAAGTTTCAAGAAACCATTTTTGAAGTTTAAAAAATAGTAATACTTTAAATGGAAGGATTTAATAATACAAACCTTTTAAAACACAGTTAAATAGAAGTTAGAGCTTGTAAGTATATTAAAATTATTCTTATCATAATTATCTGAAGAAAAATTCTAAGGGAAATATTTAGAGGATAGTGTTAGTATAAATATAAACAAACCAACAAACAAATAAATTGTAATAGAAATAAAATCCCATTTTCATGGAGAAAATAAATTGGAAATACAACTGGACTTTTTATAATAGAAATCAGAGTTATCTTTATCAATACATGGATTAGGACAAAATTAGAGTTTAAAACATTTTGGGAAAGCTTTTGGCAAATAATTATGGCTCATTCATGTACAAAGAAATGCTTTAACCAAGCTGTAAGAACTGTTTAGCACATAGAAAGAAAATGGATACTATCACATGTGCCATTCTGATTAAATTGCAGTAGTGGCCTGGAGAGATGGAGGGAGCCTTCTCCCAGGCTCCAGCGATAGAAACATCATGGTTGATTAGGGCTCACTCATTCAAGCACAATTTACTGGTATTCACAACCCTTTCTCTCTTTCAAAGGAAAAGTAAATTGAAATTAACGGCAATTTCAGTAGTAAATGCCTTTCTTGAGAACCATAGCTACTGCATTACACTGATACAGGTATCCTGTGAGATACTTTCCTCTAAAATAGTAAAATGCTAAGCCTAAGGAAGAGGTTGTCTCGTACTTTGGTTACTAATTTTTTTTATTTATTTGTTTATTTTTGAGACAGTGTCTCGTTCTGTCACCCAGGCTGCAGTGCAGTGGTGCGATCTCGGCTCACTTGCAACCTCTGTCTCCCAGGTTCAAGCGATTCTCCTGCCTCAGCCATGTGACTAGCTGGGATTACAAGCACCACCACAACACCTGCCTGATTTTTGTATTTTTATAGATACGGGGTTTCCCCATGTTAGCCAGGCTGGTCTCGACCTCCTGGCCTCAAGCGAACAGCCCACCTCGACCTTCCAAAATGCTGGGAATACAGGCATGAGCCATGAGCCACTGCGCCCGGCCTTTGCTTACTATGTTTTTTGTTTGTTTGTTTTTTTGTTTTTTTTTTTCCCCCACAGTGCTCAATGTGCATTATTATATCTGACTTGTTTTAGAGTCTAAATGAAGAATAACCTTCCCAAGCCCACAACATTAAGTAATAAACACCTGGGAATGGCATAGAGTGAACCACCTTACTTTGTCCAGAGGCAAAACAGAATCACCTGTGTTTTGCATAATGTTGCTTCAGAGTCCAGAAAGCATCACCAAGAGTTACTATTCTTCTCTAAGAACAAAAAGCAAAGCACTTACTGCAACTCCCCAAACTGTCAATTATGGCAGAGCTCTTTGAAAAAGGTTGAGGATAGTGATAAGGGAAATGTATCAAATGAAATTAGTGAACAAAAAGAAAACTGAAGTATACTACTTCAAAATAAAACTCTTTAATTAGTTGCTTTTTATACACAGATGATGCTAGAACAACAGGGGTTTCAATTTCATGGACACACTTATAAGCAGACTTTTTCACTAAAAGTTAGAGTGAGTGTGCCTGTCTCTCATGCTTCCCATTCCACCTGCTCCACCTCTACTGCCTCTGCTACTGCTGAGAAAGAAAGACAAATCCTTCCTCTTCTCCCTCCTCCTCAGCCTACTCAACGTGATGATGAGCATGAAGAACTTTATGATGATCTACTTCTGCTTAATAAATAAATATATTTTCTCTTTCTTGTAATTTTTAAGTAACATTTTATTTCTCTAATTATGTAAGAATATATTATATATATGTATAACCTACAAAATATATGCTATTGATAACATAAGCAGTCGAAAGAAACCTTACTGATAGTATCAACAGTCAATTAACATCGCTAGGCTATTAGTAGTTACGTTTGGGGGGAGTTAAAATTTATAGGAAAATTTTCAACTATGTGGGGGATCAGCACCCCTAACCCTGTTGTTGAAGGGTCTACTGCACATTATTACAAATGAAGTGTGTATTTATGCATATTTACACACATAAATACATACATATATGCACATATAATACGTAATCATGTATTTTGGGGGGAGCTTATAAATCAGCTAAACTTCTGAAAGTTCCCACACTCTTTTCTTTAAATTTATTTTATTATTATCATACTTTAAGTTTAGGGTACATGTGCACAATGTGCAGGTTAGTTACATATGTATACATGTGCCATGCTGGTGTGCTGCCCATTAACTCGTCATTTAGCATTAGGTATATCTCCTAATGCTATCCCTCCCCCCTCCCCCCACCCCACAACAGTCCCCAGAGTGTGATGTTCCCCTTCCTGTGTCCGTGTGTTCTCATTGTTCAATTCCCACCTATGAGTGAGAACATGTGGTGTTTGGTTTTTTGTCCTTGCGATAGTTTACTGAGAATGATGATTTCCAGTTTCATCCATGTCCCTACAAAGGACATGAACTCATCATTTTTTGTGGCTGCATAGTATTCCATGGTGTATATGTGCCACATTTTCTTAATCCAGTCTATCATTGTTGGACATTTGGGTTGGTTCCAAGTCTTTGCTATGGTGAATAGTGCCGCAATAAAAATACGTGTGCATGTGTCTTTATAGCAGCATGATTTATAGTCCTTTGGGTATATACCCAGTAATGGGATGGCTGGGTCAAATGGTATTTCTAGTTCTAGATCCCTGAGGAATCGCCACACTGACTTCCACAATGGTTGAACTAGTTTACAGTCCCACCAACAGTGTAAAAGTGTTCCTATTTCTCCACATCCTCTCCAGCACCTGTTGTTTCCTGACTTTTTAATGATCGCCATTCTAACTGGTGTGAGATGGTATCTCATTGTGGTTTTGATGTGCATTTCTCTGATGGCCAGTGATGGTGAGCATTTTTTCATGTGTTTTTTGGCTGCATAAATGTCTTCTTTTGAGAAGTGTCTGTTCATGTCCTTCGCCCACTTTTTGATGGGGTTATATTTTTCTTGTAAATTTGTTTGAGTTCATTGTAGATTCTGGATATTAGCCCTTTGTCAGATGAGTAGGTTGCGAAACTTTTCTCCCATTTTGTAGGTTGCCTGTTCACTCTGATGGTAGTTTCTTTTGCTGTGCAGAAGCTCTTTAGTTTAATTAGATCCAATTTGTCAATTTTGGCTTTTGTTGCCATTGCTTTTGATGTTTTAGACATGAAGTCCTTGCCCATGCCTATGTCCTGAATGGTAGTGCCTAGGTTTTCTTCTAGGGTTTTTATGGTTTTAGGACTAACGTTTAAGTCTTTAATCCATCTTGAATCCACTCTTAAAAATTCGAGTAGAGATGAAAAATCTTCTGTGAATAATTTGTCTTTAATACTTTTCAGAGAGTAAAAATGTCTATTATTTATCAATAAGCATGCCAATCATCTATATGATATTCAATTTTATTCAAAATAATTTATATGGCAAAACATATATATATATATAAACAAATAATTTAGCTTTTATTTATTTAGGTCTTTCTTATCTCAAATATTTCTATTTTCCCATTTTGAGGTATGCAATTATGTATGATGCCTTAAATTATTTTTGTAACAGGGCAGGTATTAAACGTAATATTGTGGTTTTGTTTTGTTTTGTTTCATTTTGTTTTTTCTGGGCATGACTCTGTTATGGATGCAAGAATATAAGTCCTATTCTTTATCTCAGGGAGCTCAACATTTACTTAAATATTAAACGTTAATATAAATTGCAGACTGAGGCATGAAATCACTGCTACAAACCACATAGATTTAAATAGCAAAAGGGGGAATAACTACTAGGTGTTAGACTTGAGAGGCAGATGAATTAGATACGGCATTGAAAGACAAGTAAAATTTAAATCATGAAAAGAGAGGACATGATTTACAAGGCGCAGAAAGCACAGGTAACCCGAGAAAGTCATGAAAGCTGGAATTTGCAAATTATGGTTGTGTGGTAAGTAGGTTGAGAGTATGTCTTGATTTTTATGATGTGGATTTGGGTTAGAGATCTTGGAGGGCTTACATTCTAGGCTAAGATTTTTTAAATGTATGATAAATAATGCATGTTTAACAGAGAATACAGGAGGAATTTGAGCTAGTGACTACATATATGCCATTAATGTATTGTGAGCATTGACATAAGGAACACAGGGAGACAGATGAGAAACGTGACATGAGGAAACAAGGTAATTACAAATGATTAGGTTACAAAGTAATCTTATTTTGAGCAAAGATGTCAAAAGTTAAAATAAAAGAGTTGTGCGGTCTTCAGGGCCAAAAGCACGCTAAATTTAATTTTTTTATTCATAGTATCTAGAGTAGTACCTAGAATATAGTAGAATTCCATAATTACACATAAAGAAGGGAAAAGGGAAGGTAGAAAACAGTTATTAAACACATTTTCCGTGATAGGAATTAGGCTAGGAAATAGCACATACAGTATTCACTGTATGATCACAATGACAGAGATAAGTACTATTATTCCCAATTTTGTAGAAAGAAACAGAATATGTAAGGTTAGGAAATTTACTTACAGTCATTTGTTAAATAAATCTTAAGACTTATAAAGCAACTAGTTTTGCATAAATCTTGAGCCCAGGTACTTTAGCCAGGTACAACATTGGGCTACAAGAAATAGAAAAAATCTAACTCATTCAACTTACAGGATGAGGATGCTTCAAGGTCACAGAATAAATGTGAAGTATTCTGAAAAGGTCAATACTTAACTGATCCCTGCATTTAGATAATCTCTACTAATAAACATTAGCTTTTTGTTATGATAACAAGGAAACTCTCAGTAAAATTTAGCTTCGGCGTTAAATGTACTTTTCAAGAAGCATTCTTCTGGTTCTCTAGTTATTTTCCCCACTTAAATATAAAAACTTCAGACTGTTTTTGTTTCATATATTTGTACTATTCATCTTGAATCATCAGCTGTAGCTCTGTGACATTTTAGCAAAGTTTTTGGATGAAGAAAATTTCATACTGTATTTATTTTACCTTTGTAGTTCTGAAAATAATAAATTATAATGTTTATACTTCTTTCTATTTTTTCTATTTTCATTGTAGGGCTACACAACTATTTCAATACATTATGACTCCCATATTATGAATATGGTATTTCTCCAAAGGTTGCAATATTCCTAATTGTTAAGAGACTTGAAATGGAACCAAGGCAAAAATAAACCTATTAATGTATTTTAGTGTCTTTTAAAGTTTTACTCTCAGCCTACAAAGGTTATTATTTTATGAAAAATATATCAGACTCATTCTCTGAAAGAAAATTTAATTACAATTGAAATTAATGTTACAGAGTTCAAACATTAACAAAAAATATATAATGTTTCTTAATACATTTAATACTCAACGATTAATTGTTTATTGCCACAAAAGAGGTAAGATGATTCAATGAAAACAAAGCAAAAAGTTCATGTGATTGTCAATTCTGTTTCGTAGCAAACCATGAACACTCAAGAAGTAGATTTATTAATAAATCACCTTCAGTAAATCATGCAGTGGTGAAGTTGGCCACACAGTTGCTTTTATTTCAATTTTTTAAGACAAAGAACAATATCAAAGAAAGTCACCTGGTGGCATTATATCTCCAAAAGCAAATAAAAAAGAATGGGGGCAATCATGTACAGATAATTTTATTTAAAACAAAACGTCCAGCAATACTAAGTTAAAAGGATAACGGACTAGTTAATCCTATTAACTATACACGCAGCTGAGAATAATTCTACTTCATAATCATCGTTGTCTTAGATTTCATGCTATAATCATTAAATTAATTGAAAACGTATGCTGCATATATAAAATACTTTTTGGGTTTTTGTTTGTTTTGTTTTTGTTTTTCCCTCAGAGTCTCACTCTGTCACCCAGGCTGGAGTGTAGTGGCCCGATCTCTGTTGACTGCAAACTCTACCTCCTGGGCTCAAGTGATTCTTGTGTCTCAGACTCCCAAGTAGCTAGGACTACAGGCGTGTGTCATCACAACAGGCTAATTTTTGTGTTTTTAATAGAGACAGGGTTTTTCCATGTTGGCCAGGCTGGTCTTGACTCTTGGGCTCAAGCAATCTGCCCGCCTAGGCTTTCCAAAGTGTTGGGATTGCAGGCATTAGCCACCACGCCCAGCGCAAAATATGCTTTCATTTATTAATTTTAAATATTATCATTTTAAGCATTTTTAATTAAAAAACAAATGAAACTACTAAGAAAAATAATAGTCATCATAAATGCAAAGTGATGCAAAGTTAGGCAAAGAACAGCTTTCCATGGAAGGACCTCAGGATGTCTCATTACTGTGGTCAAAACTGCATGTTTAAGTGGATGACAATACTGGTACTAAAAATGTATTGTATATCACTTTCTTTTATGAAATATCTACGTTTTAAGCATTATGCATAATATTATTCATAAATTAGTTCTTTGTTTTCTTCCCAATTTTCTTAGCCAATTTCCTCAAATGCTACTGACATAGAATATAATTAAAACGAGGAAATTTTGACAGATTAATAAAGTTCGTAGTGGTGATTACCTAGTTAAATTGCAAATTATACAAGGTCATGTCATCATATAGAACAAATTCACTAAAATATACTCTTTGGAAAGTCATATTATTTACAGAATATCCTTATGTGTTTCTTACATTAAAAAAAAAACAAAATAAACTTGGATTTTATTATTCATTTATTTTACAACCAAGAGAACAATTTCTAAAGTTAGGCATAAGCATTAAAGACTTAATATATACCGTCTCTAATACATATTTTATGTATGTGTCATATAAAATTTCCTCATTACATAATGAGAGGGTTTTACACAATTGCTAAATGATAATAAAGTTTCAACCAAACTTCTACTATATCTTAGTAGAAGATATAGCCAGATTTTTAAAAAACTGAAAAAAATGTTTAATTAAAAAAACAAAAGAAAATATTGTAAAATGCGTTCCACGAATGTGTTAATATGAAATTATCTACACTTGCATTTGGAGCTAAAAAAAAAAAAAAAGTTTGGGTGTTGTGGCTCACAGATGTAATTCCAGTACTTTGGGAGACGAAGGCAGGAATATGGCTTAAGCCTAGGAGTTTGAGACAAGCTGGGCAACACAGGGAGACCTGCCTCTACCAAAAATTAATTTTAAGATATGCTTACAACTTGTTTATATATTGTTAGTAACTCTTTTAACAGCACATGCTGTTTTGCTTAGCCACACAGTGACAGTCTTATTGCAGTGAACTTTAAACCTTGCAGCCATGGATAGAATATATGCAGCCAATCTAATAGGAAGCAGATGTAATACTTCACCTCTCTTTTATTAATTTAGTTATGTCTTAGGTCACTGATTTTTAAATGATGTTCAATACTAAGTGTAATTCATAAATCAGGAAGATGAGACTTACAAAAAGTCTTCTTTTTAACAGGCTCAAAATAACAAATATGAAAATATTTCAGCAAATAGTTTTGCTATTTGGGTTTACCAAATGCATTGTATTATAAACTGAGTTTTTGGGCAAGCTTGTAAGAGACTCAAAATTGCATCCACTGTTTCCTTGTCAATTTTATAGAATACTTCATGGGTAACATCTTTCTCAATGGCTTTCAGTGGCATCTTTACAAAAAGATGTTTAAAAAGTTGAGCGATAATATTAGAAATTTTTATACAGAATTAATTTATACACATATATATTTCAAACATTTTTGCTAGAGATCATTAATTCAGACTGTTTCAGGTATATTAGTAAGAATTTTGTGTCTATGTTATTAGACCAAATTAGAATATGATAAAATTTTTCAGGAATAGCCATTGATTACCCAGAAGAAAAAAAAAAAAACTGCCTCATCCATCTGCTAAAAGTCCCAGTCTGTCTTTAAAGGAGTGGATTTGCATAAAATCAAGATTTCAGGAAATGGTATACTTGATTTAATGTTGCCAAGAAAGTAATGACCAGCACAATCAATAAGTAAGTTTCTTGAATTAACACCACCAAGAGATTTCAAAATTTATGATATAGGTAAACACATCATTTGAAAGTAAATACAGGAAAACTTTGATTTATTTATTCAGTGAATACATTAATAATCAGAATAAACAATAACGATAATTTAGTTCACTAATTAAAAATTTTGCCCTAGAACATTTTATGTGATTCAAATATTACAACAAAGCTACATTACTTTCATGAGCAAATAGAATGTTTAAACTACTTGGGCAAATAAAATAAAGTAAAAATGAGAAAAGAAAAGAGAAAATGGCAAAAAAGCAAGAAATAAAAACGTTAGGAAGGGAGGAGGAACAGAATGGAAGAAATGTCATCTCTCTGAATTTTAACTGCCTTGTAAAATAATTCTCAACAAGAAATGTAGTCTGTGTAGTCTAATAGATTGATAACAAAGAATTTTTTTAATAACATGAAAATGTAAATTATTTTTAGAATGTTATCAATTAAATTTACCCTCTGGGATTTGGTACACTCATCCTCAGTCTTAGTCTCTAATTAAAGGGAAAATAATTATAATCGATACTACCTCTGACTATGACATGGAAAATTTGTCAAATATAATTCAGATCGTTACATTTGCTATGGTGTATGATGAGTACAATGAATTTTTTCTCTTTTTGCCTACCACTAAAATATGCATTCTTCTTTCACCCTTCCATCAATTGTGTGACCTTTGTTCAATGTAGCACACTGATGGGCTTGGGTGATGTTTATTAAAAATGCAGCACACCAACATGGCACATGTATACATATGTAACAAACCTGCACGTTGTGCACATGTACCCTCAAACTTAAAATAAATATAATAAAAAAAACGAGCTGGGTGTGCTGGTGCATGCCTATAATCCCCGCTATTTGGGAGGCTGAGGCAGGAGAATTGTTTGAATCTGGGAGGTGAGTGTTGCAGTGAGCTGAGATTGCACCACTGCACTCCAGCCTGGATGACAGAGTGAGACTCCATCTCAAAAAAAAAAAAAAAAATAGAAATTTTAATATATAACCTACTGAGTTAGAACTCATTTCCTAATAATACCAACCAAACTTAATGACATTCACCAGAAATGTCTGAAGAAAAAAACATGTATTAGATTTAGATAATATAGCTTTGGAATCAGACATAACTGAATTTTAGACAATACTGGTTCAGGCAGTCTTTCAAAAATGAATCTTGAGCAAATTACTTGATCTCTTTAAACTTTAGATGTCTTATTTTTAAAATTGAGGGAGAAGTATGACTAATCTAAACTTTATTATTATTACGCATAATATTCATAGTTGCATTTAATTTGGAGGAACATAGATATTTCCTTCAGTGGACTACAACCCTGTAAATATTCTTAAGAAATTACAGTAAAAGAAAAACACACAGCACAAACTATTCTACTAGGGAGATGTATATGGATAAATCTTGAAATATGTTATCCATCACTTTCGTTTTATGTATGTGGAAATTAAGGCCAAGAAGAAATCTTCCGTATTTTGCCCAACTAGATATGGCACTGACAGAATTTGAAACAAACTTCTTAGTCCAGGTTTCTTTATTGACTCCTGTAATTCCTTTCACCCAGTTTTAAGAGCAATTTGATGATTATGAAGCCAACTCTTTGCCCTACGGAGTGATTCAACTGACCTGGCTGAATAGTAGGTTTTCCTTCTTTCTTTGCTACTTTATGTGTGTACAGTAGTAAGAATTGACTTCCCAAATTGATGAGGATTGTTCTTTGGTAAAAAAAAGAACAGTAATAATCAAGTATTTTTATATTTTTACATCATTCAAAAATATGCTATGGACAATTTGAATCCAAGAAAAAATAGATTTAAATATCTTATGTCTACTAGGACAGAGGATATGAATAAAAAAGCAAAAATAATATGGTGTGGTAAGTCATAAATTCCTTAGCACATAAACAGGAGTTAAAGAAAAAATTATAAAGAAGCTCATGACAGAGCAATTGTTAATATTTTGGAAATATCTGGAAGGATTTTTCTAAAAGATGTAAGGTATACATTTTAATTGGTCAAGAAATATTGTTGTCTGTGTTTCATTATATGTACAGCACAGTAGTATGCACTATGAAGAATTAATAAAATCAAGTTCTTTTACTCAGATACGTGATATTAATTCTTTAAAATTATGTTTTTTATTATTTAATCTATTATTTCTTCTTTCTATATTATTGCTTATAATTCAAATAGTGGACTAGAGTTTGTTTTAAAGTGTATTTTATAACAATGAAACAACAAATGGCAAAACCATTAAAATCTTCAATCGAGTTGTATATTCTCTTTGTAGATATATTTCCTAGTACATATATATGTATAAACAGTATATACTATATGTACTATATATATGACATTATACTATATACTGTCATAGTATATACTATATATAATATAGTATCTGTACTTTATAATATATATGAATATATGATATATAATATATCATGAATATGTATTCATATTATGAATAATATGTCATATATTATAAAGTACTTATACTATATATGTCATATATTATAAAGTACATACACTATATATGTCATATATGTGCTATATAATGTATATAATGTCATAAATATATGCAAACACATATTTTTCTTTATGTAACACTTTTCACAAATATTATGCCATCATTTTTTTTTCAGGCAAAAATGAGATTCCAAGAGACTTGCTCAATGTTGTGAAATAATAAATGAGAAACAGGACAAGAGACCAGAGTCATCTAATAAATCTTATTCACTATTCAATGTCTTTTATTTTCTCTCTTCATAAATATGATTATAAATAGTTGAAAGGATTACAATCATTTAACAATATCAAATAAACTACCTATAAATTTGATCCTTCTTTTTAAAGATTTGGATATTTCTCTGATTCCTCTGGAAATTGCAAACTAAGTCTACTTAGAAATTAAATATTATGTTTTACTGAAATTCCTAACTTTAATAATCCAGGCCCCTTTTAAACAAATGAATTGATATGTTATTAATCTTATATTTCACATCATAATGCTCATTTCTAGAGCTCGTGCATTTCCTAGATTTGCTAATAGTTGAGTTATAAAGGCTTAATTGAAAAGGTACAAAAAATATTTTAAAACCCTGATCAAAACCTAGAAAAGATGTTTTATCCTCGAAATATAAAATATACACAAAATAGTTTGTGATGTAAGCACAATATTTTATTCTTCAAATTTATTTTAAGAATCATAAGATGTTTGCACCTTATGCAAACGTTATTGATAACATTAACATTTTTATAAATCACTTCACTATGAATGAATGCCAGTAAAAATTAAAGTGCAAAGTTTTAACTCAAAATATAAAGCTTCCTGCATAATTTTAATGCTTGAAAGTTAAATAAGCTAGAGAAAATAAACTTCAGCCATTATGAAAAGCACTTTTGACATTCATGTCAACGAGACTTAAGTCAGCATGTCTCTTCTGATAGTGCAATTTGCTTTCCTCTATATTGTCGATTATAATTCCACTTTCCTGCTAAGTCCATACAATTAGATTACTACAGGGACTTCATTACAGCCACAGGGAGGACAGCAGCTGAGGTACACAATTTTCTTCCTATGATGCCAGCAATAGTAAACAGTTATTGGAACAATTGTCTACAAAGGAGCAATAAAAGCTGCTGCATTAAATATTGTTGTGTCATTATATCATCTCCCAAAATATAGCAAAGACTTGAAAAATGTCAATGCCAGGAAAATTTTGCTTTTCCCACTTGTCTGTTTTGCTAAGTTTCCTATAAATCAGTTGTTTTTCATTTGTTCATTTAAACATAATTCAGACTACACATTATCTCCAGGCCTTAGATTCCTAGTTTTAAAATGAGGGGAGTGAAGAATTTATAAATATTTGATGTCTCTCCAAATAAATCTTCAACAATGAAGAATAATGATACATTCTTCTGTATTAGATTGCTGCTTGCTCATAACAATATAAATTTCAGAGCTAAAGTTTACATCTTATTGTCATATAGTCCAATGTATTTTCTACTGTCATTGCTTTAAAGTATACATGCTATATTTCATATTCAGGATTCTATTTTCAATTGGCATTCTAATGTAATTCTTTCTTAATTTTACAAAGTTTATCTCTTCCAAGTTTTTATGCTCAATTTTTTTTCATCAGCCTTGGTATATCTCATGCATATTATTGAGTCTTAAAACACCTAGCATATTTTATTACTTTCCTTATTCAAAAAAAAAATCTGTAAAACCAAACAAAAAAACAAACTTTTAAGCAAAACAAATCAGATTAATAGTAATAAAATTTCTTTTACCAATATTCCATGACACTTTTAGTGGAAAAATTTCATTTTATGTGACATTAACATCTAACTAAATTTTACTGAGTGGTTATTAGTGGTTGGGCATTGAGATCAGAGATTGCAAAACTACTGAAGGAAATCAGAGTGGCTCTTAGCAGTGTTCAGAGTTTAATCAGACAGACTAGAAGACAAACAATTACAGTACAGGGCAAAAAGCATCACATAATGTTTCTTAGCTCACTGGTATGAATCCATTTGTCTTTAGATATTTCAGACATCAGTTTCTCTACTGTGTGAAACTACCGCAATTGTTGGTTTCTGTTGTCTCTGACTTAGTGCCTTTACATTGGTACTGAATTATCATTGTCAAATAATATCAACCACACCTGCCCTGGTGTGGTCAGGTGAATAATGCACCTCCTCACCCCCAAAGATGTCCAGATTCCAATGCCTAGAACCTATGAACATGTTACTTTACATGGTAACAGGGACTCTGTAGATGTGAATAAATTAGATATCTTGATAGAGTTTATCCTGGATCATCACAAAGCTCCGTTGTAAAAGGAAGCAAGAGAATCCGTTGGTAGCAGCAGATAGACAATGATGAGAGAAGCAAGTGGTTGGAGGGATTTGAGGAAAAGGCTACTAACCAAGAAATGTAGGCTGACTTTAGAAGCTGAAAAAGGACATGGATTCTCCCCTTGACCCTCCAGCAGACACAGAACTTCTGGCGTCTTGATTTTAGATGTCTGATCTCCAGAACGGTAACAGAATAGATCTGTTTTAAGTCACTAAGTTTGTAGTAATTTGTTTTAGCGGCAATGGGAAACAAACACACCTGCTTTCCAAGAAAATTTTAATTAAAATATTTTCTTTGATTCTCATGTCACAGGTATTAATTTTCAGTTTGGAAAGGATGGCGACAGTGGTGAAGGTGTAAGTGTTTCCAAAATATTAGGAAGCCTTGTATGTGAAAGAAAGAAAATCTACACAATGTAAATGAAAAATAATTATTAAACAAAATCAAAAAATAACAAAACCAACTATACATTAGAACATATTACATATTGAAACATTTTACATTGGATTGAATTTTATCCCTAGACTGCTTCCCTAAGGGAATAGACTGAATTTGGTTGAAAGGGTACTTATTTGAGAAGTCAGCAGTTTTCAGACTTGGGTGTGTATCAGAATCACCTAGGGAACTTTTTAATATACAAATGGCTAGGGCAGGTGCCGTGGCTCATGCCTATAATCCCCGCACTTTGGGAGGCCGAGATTGGTGGATCACTTGAGGTCAGGAGTTCGAGAGCAGTCTGGCCCACATGGTGAAACCCTGCTTCTTCTAAAAATACAAAAATTAGCCAGGCGTGGTGGCACACGCCTGTGGACCCCACTACTCAGGAGGCTGACGTGGGAGAATTGCTTCAGCCCGGGAGGTGGAGGTTACAGTGAGTCGAGATTAGGCTATTGCACTCCAGCCTGGGCAACAGAGCAAGACTCCATCTCAAAAAATAAATAAATAAATAAATAAATAAATAAATAAATAAATAAATAAATAAAATAAAACAAAATACAAATGGCTGAACCCCGCCTCCCAAGTTTGACTTGACAGCCAAGGATTTGCATCTTTATCAAGTTTGGGGATGATGTTGATGCTACTGGTCCAGGTACCTAACCTTAGGAAACACTGATGTAGCATTAAAAAAAAACATGAAAACTGGAAGATCTGGGTTCATATAATATTTCTGTCACTTTCTAACTATGTAATACCTTAACTTCAGTGATTTTCAGTTTTCTTTCTGCCCAATCTCACAATTCCACTGGGAGGATCAAACAAGAAAATATAATTCCCGTGGACTATAAAGCCATATAAAAGCATGGTGATGATGCATAATTAATAGAAGCAAGCAGTTTATGTCTATGGTCATGTTATTTGATACTCTGGATAGTTTTCTCCTAATTGATGTATTTATTTGCGACTTTTCAGGCACTCTAAAAGGGCATGGGTTACTTTTCAAATTAAAAATAAAATATGAATAACTGTCTGTGCGTTGGGGGTGTCTTGCATATGTGTGTGCTTGTGTGTGTAAATACTATTACGTGAATTCTAGTAATTCAGTGTTTCCTGATTAAAGAGACTATGCAATGTTATGACGTAAGACGTTTTCCTTAAAAATTTTTTTACCAACAATTACATATTATTTTCTGTGTCTCTATTACAGAGACACTGTTATATTGCTGTAAGTCACTTTTGATAACTCAATAGAGACTTGGCAAGGAGAAAAGGAGAAATTTCCATATCCTAATTAGTAAAGCCTTTGTTATATATTTTATATTTTTTTCTGTAGTAAAATACTTCGTCTAATACTTTTTGAATTATAGAAATGGCTTTACTTATTTCTATACTGTTTCCTAATTTGTTATCACCTCAAAATTGTATTAACATCAATAATGATGACAAATGAAACTGGAATTAGTTCTACCCTTTCAAGTGTCCCCCTAGACTATTTTTCTCCTGGAGAACCACTGTCATCCACTACTCTTTATGTAAAGCCCTTCAGGCAAGATTAAATACAAGTCATTTCAAAATAACAGTATTTTTTTGGAAAACATATTAAATATTTCCTCAATGTCAAGATGCACCCACATCTGGTAAGTTACCAAAACAAGTGCATATGTATCTGTGTCTTTGTGTTTGTACTCACATATATATAAATGCCTAACATGCACAAACACACACACACACACACACACACACACACACACACACACACCATGTACTGATGGGTGGCTGGAAAGAGAAAAGGAACGGATTCATAGGCAGAACTATAACAACACAACATGTCAGGCAGATAGAACAGTGGACTGAAGTTCCGTGGCTGCTGTCAGATTCCTCAGAACTCCTACTAGCAGCTGGCTAACCTTGAACTAATTCCCAGTTTGTTTTGCATCCTCATCTCCCTTCCCTCCTTTTATGAGGGCATCAAAATGCTTCACGTCTAAAACTCTTCCACCTTTAACATCCTCTGCCCTGTCCTTGGTAGAATGCCTTCAGGGAAAAAAATAAATTAAACAACAAATTCTTTCCATAATAGCTTACAGGGAAAACACGGGTGCTGCCTTATTGAGTGGAAAATTTAATTGTTCTGACAATTGTCGCATTTTTAAGAATGCAGCTGTGTCATGTGAACACAGACAATTTCCTGGACTCTATGTCAGTTTAACTGAAGAAAAAAAAATGTTAGGTTGTCCAATGTGTTGGAAAAATAACAGACCTATTTAAAATGGATGGAAAATGCATGTTTAAGAAGACACTACAGAAACAGGCAGCTGTTGGTCCTCTAACTCATCAGTTTACACGGTTAAATAATGAGAGGAATAAAACCTGCCACCGTCAGATAGATGGACTTTGAATCCTCCAGACAGGTTGTGGTCTTTATCTCACTTAGTATCTGTCACAATGATGAGTGAGAATATACTCTGCAGTATTTGTAGGCCTTTCATTTTGAATGAATTGATAGCCCCAGATGCAACCCTTTATGACTGTCTTCAGGCAAAATATTTTACAAAGCTTCTCCAATTAGGTTATGGCAAAACTAGAAGGTTGTGCACTAACTGAATTTTGCCTAGTATATAGGATAATAATACCATAGATGATGTCTCAGAGCAAATATGAAGGAAGACATGAATGACTTGAATCTTAAAATATTTGATGAACGACAATTTATCACTCGGCAATAAAAATCATTTAAACATTTAATGAGGATAATTAGCATTTTGACATACCAGATCTGTATTTAAATTTTCATAAACAATTTCATATGGTTTAAATAATAATAAAAGGTTATAGAAATGTCTTAATAATAAAATATTTATTTTTTCTTTTTTTGCTCTGTGAATTGAACCAAGATTTCCTTGGACTACAGTAATTGCAGCAATTTCAAAAACACTGAATGATTAGTTTAGAATATCGTCCATGTGGGAGACACACCAGGGTCTCTCACGGGGTGGGGGAAGGGGAGGGAGAGCATTAGGACAAATACCTAAATCATGTGGGGCTTAAAACCTAGATGATGCGTTGACAGGTGCAGCAAACCACCATGGCACATGTATACCTATGTAACAAACCTGCACATTTTGCACATGTATCCTGGAAATTAGAGTAAAATAAAAAATAATAAAGAAACAGAATTTTTTTAAGAAAAGAATATATTCCATGTGTTTCTGTTAAAAATAAATAACTGAAAACAAACAAACAAACAAACAGCAACAAAAAAACAACCTGTCATCAACCTTTGGGGAACCCTGAAATCTAAGTAATGGTATAAGACTAGAAAATTGTGAACAACTCATAACTTCCTCAAAACGCCTGAGGTAGTTTAGTAGGCAGCATTTTCAAAAGTTAAACTAGAAGCAACTATGAACTGCCATTCTTAGACATTCTTAGATAGTTTCAACTATTGTTAGAATACGTTAAAATATTTTAAATCAAAAAAGCTGCAATTGCCTTCTCCTAACAAAACCTGGCTTTATTGAAGCAGCTGCTAGTTTATTTCTTCAACCAATATATTCAGTAAGCAGTCTTAAAGGAAACTTTGGTGTGTGGCACTATGTGAAGTCCTATATGGAGGGCATACAAAAGTCAAGGACTTTTAAGTTAGAATGGGAGAGAAAAAGTACTTAGGTAGCATTCAGTGCTTTCAATAGTAATAAAACATAAGATAATTTATAAATAGATTATTATAGACACAAGTCTCTTTTCAGGAAAACCGTCCAGGAAAATGCAATATTCATTCCTTTTTTTGTTTGTTTGTTTTGAAATGGAGTTTCACTCTTTTTGGCCAGGCTGGAGTGCAGTGGCAGGATCTTGGCTCACTGCAACCTCCGCCTTCTGGGTTCAAGTGATACTCCCTTTCTCCCTGCCTCAGCCTCTAGAGTAGCTGGGATTACAGGCATGTGCCACCATGCCCGGCTAATTTTGTATTTTTAGTAGTAATGGGGTTTTACCATGTTGGCCAGGCTGGTCTCGAACTCCTGACTTCAGGTGATCCACCTGCCTTGGCCTCCCAAAGTGCTGGGATTACAGGTGTGAGCCACTGCACCTGGCCTCACTTCTTTTTATTTCTCTTTCTCTCCCACAAGTTGACTCAACCATGAGCACCACAATGTATAACAGTAGAACTGTACAGTCATGTTTTCTGTTCTCTAGCTTTGTCCCTAAAGAGTAAATATACAAAACCTATTCCTTTTGCTACAACCATCTCAATATTTATATTATTTTCACGTATTCTTCATTGCAAATAATGTTTTGAAAAATACATATGAACAAAAATCTTTGAACCACTGATGTTTTAGGAGAAATTATTGGAGTTAGAGCAAAAATTATGAGTATACTTATTTTTTCTATATATGACTACATTGGTTTTTAAAAATGTGCAATGGCCACCTCAGATAAAATGATTATTTCTTTACACTTGGAAGAAGGTTGAGAATTATCATTTTTAATGTTTTGGTAATTTTATAATTTTTATTTCATTTCAAGTGGGGCATTTTTTTTCATTTATTTATTAACAATGTACATGGCCTCTTTGAGTATCTCAATCAATCTAATTATATTTGAATTTAATGTTTTCTTGCGAGTTTGCATATGTCGTTGTATACATTCTTTATATATTGTTTACCAACATTTAGTCATATTTGTTACAAATATCTTCCTAATTGCCGGTTCCCTTCTAATTTTATGTCTTTATGTTTTCAGGAAAAATTTTGTTTGTGTGTATATATACATGTAGTAGAGATGGGGTTTTATCATCTCTCTCTCTCTATATATATACACAAACACATAGTTTTATATATATACATAGCTTTTTTTTTTCCTAGACAGGGGTCCACTCTGTAGCCAGGCTGGAGTGCAGTGGTGCAATCGTCAGCTCACTGCAGACTCGACCCCCCCGGGCTCAAGTGATTTCCCACTTGAGTCTCCCAAATAACTTGGACTATAGGTGGGCCATCACACCCGGCTAATTTTTTTTTGTAATTTTTGTAGAGATATGTTTTTGCCAAGTAGCCCAGGCTTATCTCAAATTTCTGGGCTTAAGCAATCGCCTGACTTGGCCTCCCAACATGCTGAGATTACAGGTATGAGGCAGTGTACCAGCCAAAAAGATATTTAAAAATATTAGACACTCCTATCTTTCCATTGCAATCATTTAGGGAACTCCAGGCAATACTCCCTCCCATGATTTAGATTTTAGTATTAACCTTGTTTTGTCTTTTTATTTTTCTTCATCAGATGCTCAATTAATTTTTGATCATTTCAATATCCACATAATGTTTAAAATACCCGGACATCTCAGATTCTAAACCTCCTCTCCTCCAATGATATTGTGGTCTTCCCTACCTTATTCATTCAACAGCATGATCATATGCAAAACTGTTTCATCAACAACATCTTCATCTCCGTACATCAATTTCAGACATTCTTCCTTTGACCTCTGTCTCTTATCTCTTAAACTACTACTCAGAAAATTTTCTAAGGTTCTATTCCAAGGATTCAACCAGCACTCCCACTATTTCCTCAAATCCCTCCTTACCTATTTTTGATGCAATGTCTATCATTATAATCAGTACCTTGTATACATTTTAAAGTCCTTCGTCCTACCCTTGCTTTTTTTGTATTCACTTGTCAAAACCACCTCTACACTGAAATCAAATTCTCTCACCTACTCAGCACATACATTCTCAGGTAAATGTGGAAAGTCACACAGCCACTCTGACTGGTCTCCCATTAATTTCACAAGTGTAAATGTCACTGTGGCTTTTAATCTCTTTATCTTTCTCTAGTCAATTTACCCTTCTACTCAGCTACTCATGCTGGTTTCTCTCTTCTCTAATATCTAGCCCCTTCTTGTTCTCCTGGGAGAAAACTGAATAAGGCTGGAAAATGGCTTCTCATCTTTCCCTTCACTAAATCTGAAGACGCATATTCATCTATACCCATAAATTCTGCCTTTCTTTTCCTAATAAATGAACACGTGTCCCTCTCTAAAACAAACTCCTCTACTCTTTCTTTTTACTAAAGCTCTGACATTAGTCCTCATTTCTGAATCATAAGTTGTTCCCTCTCTTCAGAGAATCTCCTAGCATTTTATAAACATGCAATATATTTTTCCATCATACAAACAAAAGACCCTTGACTCCACACTCTTTACATTATCTTCAGTGGCTGCCTTATTTCTTCACATCACTTCATAGGAAATAAAAATAAAATAAAATAAAAATGGAAAAAAATCTCTTCAAATAATTATTTTTGTAGCCTTCACATTTTCTTTCAAACTTCATTCCTATGAGGTCTTTATCCTCAGCAAGGAAGCAAAGCTATTCAAAAGTCATCAATAATTAATTACAAAACCTCATTTTATCCCATCTAGTAGTAGCATTTAACCCAGCTGATTATAAATTCCTTCTTCCATGGTTTCTTTACTTGGACTTCTGGGCACCACACTCTCTTGGATCTTATTCTGCCTCCCTGCCTTGTCTTCTTCATATCTGTTATGCATTTTCTGCATTCACCCAGGCTCTACTCCCTTGAGTGCCCTTGGACTCAATTCCTGTGCATTTCTCCATCTATTTCCTTTAACGGCATCTATATACTGATGACTCAGAAGGGTAAATCTCCAGATATTCCTCTGAAATCTGGGATCTATCATCTCTACTTGGATGAGTTGTGTACTCCACATCCTCACTGGAATCTCCTCCTGCAGAGATTATTCTACACAGAGGGGAGAGGACTGGAATCTTTACCCTGACATTACTTAGTCATTAGTTAAGGGCTCTCTCAGTGCGGGAGAGTCAAACCTCCCAGGCAGTTACGAAAATATGGATTCCTATTAGCCAAGCACAATTCTCCACAGGAGGATGCAGGTATAATCCATTAGCAGACAACAGGTGCTGCACCCAGGAATAAATGCATTTGCTGATAAAGGTTATCACAGCACATACCGCACTCTGATTCAGCCTGTGATGGCTGTGTCATGATTTCAACTAAAAAAAATATACACATGCATCATTTTAAATTAAAGGTATCCTTGTACTATTTTAGTATTTAAGTATAAAGTTTTAAAAAAGAATAAAATTAACTCCATTGTTGTACTTAATACAAATTAAATCAATAGTAGAACCCACCACTTTACTTAGAAAACATTAAAATAGACCTCAAGCCTTCTGATATTTTTTTTTTTGATCAACTTAACCTCAAAGTAATCTTGATTCTGAATCGGAGATGACTTTTTCCATACATTTCCTTATACTTTTAATGCATATGTCTCTATAATCCCTAAAATATATGTTTTATGCATTTTATAATATATTTTATACATTTTATATAAGTATAAAATTATATAAATATTCTATACATTATATAAAATTGATCATACTGTATATATCCCTTTACAACTTGATTATTTTTCTGCTAATATTATTTGGTAGGTTCAATAACATTTTACATGCAGCTATAATTTATTCATTTCACTGCTAATTCTATTGGTGATTAAATCATAATGTATACATTCAATATTTTTGACGGACAGGTAGCTTGTTTTTATTTCTTTCCTAGTATAAAAAGTGATTGATTAGACATTCCAGTCCACAGTTTCTTCTGTACATAAATAAGCTGTTCTCTAAGGTTTATATCAAGAGAGTACAGTTTTAGGTGAAAGGGTAGGTTTAAATGTTATTAAAATACAATAAATGGAAGAATACAGTTAGTTTCTTGAAGTTGGTTCCTTTTTTTTCAAAAATCATGAAAATAAATATTCAAAAGAATGACTGTAAAGTTGATCTTTTGGACAATTTATGTGTTTTATATGTTCGGAGACAGGAGCTGATTTTCTTCCCTGAACCTGTTCTAATACGTAGAGCATACAAGTTGGTAGTTGGTATTTGATTGTTTACAAAATCTGTACACAATCCTCACTGGGATTATCTTTCCTTATTGGTAGCAGAAAGTTTTTCTTTTCCTCAATGTGGCAGATGTGAGAACATCTATAAGGATACATTTCAGTGCTGCATTAGTGAAAACTGGAAAACTGGCATTTCTTTTTTGTTCCAAGTTGTATTCTAGAATATTTATGTACATCCCTTTAATTAATCCTTAAAACCTTATGATGTGGTGCCGGGCGCGGTGGCTCACGCCTGTAATCCCAGCACTTTGGGTGGCCGAGGCGGGCGGATCACGAGGTCAGGAGATCGAGACCATCCGGGCTAACACGGTGAAACCCCGTCTCTACTGAAAACACAAAAAATTAGCCGGGCCTGGTGGCGGGCGCCTGTAGTCCCAGCTACTCGGGAGGCTGAGGCAGGAGAATGGCATGAACCCGGGAGGCGGAGCTTGCAGTGAGCCGAGATTGCGCCACTGCACTCCAGCCTGGGCGACAGAGCGAGTCTCCGTCTGAAAAAAATAAAATAAAATAATAAAATAAAATAAAAAAGTATGATGTGGATATATGGTAATTTTTCTGCTTCAGAGCTTCAGAGAAAATATTATCCCTAGGTCATACAGCTGGGGTTTTAAAAAAATTCTCAATTTTAACCAACATTTACCTCAAAACACCGTAGGAATTTGAGTTGTATTTATGACAGTGAGGTAAACTTGGTTTAATGAATAATGCACATGTCACCCAGGCATGGTGGCTCGCACCTGTAATTCCAGGAGGTAGGAATTACTGGGGAGGTAATTGGGAGGCCGAGGTGGGAAGAATTACCTGGGAGGTAATTGGGAGGCTGAGGTGGGAGGATTGCTTGAACCCAGGAGTTCAAGGCCAGCCTGGGCAACATAGTGAGATCCTCTCTCTAGTGAAAAAACTAATTAATTAATTAAATTAATTTTAAAAATTAATGCACATATCAATGAATAGCCTAAATAATTCACATAGGTTTTGTGTATTAAAATATCATCTGTCTTTCAATTCTTCTTTGAAGCCAATCTCTATACCTTAGCTGATATTTTCCTTTCTCTATGCTTCTCTGGCAGCATTTTATATCCTGTTATTCTATACTGTCGTTGTCTGTTATAACTGAGTATAATATCCCTCACTGGAATTTAAGCATTTGAGAGTAATAACCTTAAACTATGCATATATGGCATCTTCTAATCACCACCTCTCAGCTGAAAGGACTGTGCTTCATAGGCAGAGACTTAGGGAATCAGAGTGTAAAGGAAGTAACACTATCAACTAAGGAAATGGAGATTTGATAAGCAAGCCATGATTGTCACAGGGTATTGGGAAATCATACACTAGGCATGCCGAAGTAGAATCAGCAGGGAAAAAAAGCCATGCTTAATCTAGGAAAACATTCAGGCATGGCTTCAGAGACACTAGGAGGATTCTAGTAGGGGACTTGACATACGCCGGGGGCAACCCATTGTGAAGGAGCTAGGTGGCCTGGGAGTGCATTCTCAGGCTATGAGATACTGCCACATATAGGTCAACCTAAACCTTCGTTCTTGAAGACCACTAGCTTTGGAAATAAACGGCTTTTTTGATCTAGAAAAAGGCCTTGAAAATTAAAGTCACTCAGCAACGTTAGACATTGAAAATTAAAAGTAACTCAATTCAAACTTTTCATTTTATAATCAGGAAAACTGAACTGAAAACAATATATCAGTTAAGTCATTTGAGCATGTCTCACAGCAAATGATTGTTGAAAAAAGGCTATTCAAAATGCTAGGATATGGTTGTTATCTATATAAAGATTTTCTATGCCTTTCATCTAAAAAACAACTTTTAACTTTATTAAGATACCACCAAGAAGCTTAGGTACCGAAAGATGTAAAAGAAAGAAACTTCAAGTATCTTCAAACTAACAGCATTTTATAAATAGTGATATTTTAAACAAGATCATGATAAAGGTTTTAGGGTTTTTTTAAAATAAAAATTTAAACTTTCATATAAGTTTATATGGTGAGATAGAAAGACCCACAAATGCAATTTAGATATGATTGATTAATTTTTCTTGACACTTTCACTGATAGCAGTTATCTGTTGTTGTTAATTTTTCACAGGCTTTCAAGTAAAATAAAGTTGCTGCTTTCTCCCAAAAAATTATACCCTGTTACATGATTTAGTTTCCTGAGATCGGGACCCTTGTCCTGTCTTTGTTTTGCACTCCTCAGAAAAGCATGCAATAGTTGACTACATTGCTAAGTATTCAAAAACAATATGATGAAATTATTTAGTTATGCTTGACCCGCTGATCTTGTTTTCAAACTAAGATTCCATAGCGACATATCTCACACTGTTACTATGTGAAAAAAATAGCAAACTGCCCTAAAAGTAATTCAACATCCTTAACAATTCATCCCAACTAAAGCTCAACAATCATATTTTTTGTTCCCCGAGAAATTATCTATTGTGACTGTTTATATAAAATATACTACTCTCATTTGTTACTCTATTTTAACATGAAAAAACACTTATCAAAAATGCTACTGTAATGTACGGATGCCACTTCCTGTATAAGCAAGGTACAAATAGACTTATAGAAGAGGCTTCTTCTTATAGAAGAAGAAGAATGAAAAATCACTTGCATTTCACCACCAACTTCAATTGATCGTCAGTAACTGCCTGGAGAGTTCTTTCTTTGAGAGAAATTGTGAGGCCTAGTGTAAGCTCACCAGGAAAGTATGCCAAGATCAATTATTGATGTCTGCCATGGGCATATAGGAGAATGGGGTGACAATCTATAAGCCATGATTTTTTTTTTATCTGTGCACTAGAGCTTGAAATATGTATTCATTTTAATTATTGAGACATAGGCATACTCTTGGTAGATGAGTGTCATATCAGGTACAATAAACTCTAACAATGTACACTGACTTTTAGAAGGCTTGTTTACTACATGTTGCAATGAGGTGATAATTGCCCTATAAAAGGATTATCATTCCTCCAAGATATGACTGTCAAAGTAATAGAATGCCACAGCTCATAGTATTGTTTCCAGTATTAACCCATTATAAACGCAGACTGCTCTAAGTCTTTCAGAAAATTTTAAAAAATAGCCAGAGAGAATTGTTACTTTTACTTAAATATATTTTGATGTGACTGCTGATATCAAAGAAGAAATAGTCCATGGAAATTCAAGTCACTGTTAGACACCACAGCGTTATACTGCCTCCTTATATTGGAATAAGAAGACTTACTTTTGATCTCCAAATAGACCTTTCAGTAACAGTTACTACAGAGATTAAATTAATGAATGACAAATTTCAAAGTGCTCTATTTGCAACATGGAAATATTAATTGATGTTATATGACCATTTACTGTCTGCTTTTACATTCAGTCTTGCTCTGTGGTATTGAACCTAATCTCAGTAATTTGAGTCCATTATTTGTTTCTAACTAATCTCTTAATTTGGGGCTACATCCTGGCTCCCGTTAATTTGTTAAAAGGGTTCAGCAGAAGAATATTCAGCTACTTGCCTCGAAAAATGACTCCTTGAAACGTAAAATTCAAAAGTAACAAGCAAACAGTGACTCCATTAAAAATTACGTCTAGTACATTCTTTTTTTACTTTTAAAAATCTTTTTAAAGTTTTTTTTTAAGTTTTGTGGGTGCATAGTGAGTGTATATATTTATGGGGTACGTGAGATATTATGATTCAGGCATACAAAGTGTAGCAATCATATTAGGGCAAATTGGGTATCTATCATCTCAAGCATTTATCCTTTGTGTTACCAACAATCGAATTACACTCTTTTAGTTACTTTAAAAATGTGCATTTAAATTAGTATTGACTATAGCCACCCTGTTATGCTATCAAATACTAGATCTTTTAATCTTTTTCTATTTTTTTGTACCCATTAACCACCCACTCCCCAAGCCCCTCCATGCCCACTACCCTGCCCAGCGTCTAGCAACCAACATTCTAGTCTCTATCTCCCTAAGTTCAATTAATTTTTAGGTTCCACAAATTGGTACATTCTAGAATTTCACTCATCATGTTTACTATGAAAGGGAAACCATCACAGAGAGTGTTGACTTCACTTCTTATTTGCAGATATAGTTACTGTTTCATTAGAAACTGTGTAATGTGATCATTTTGAGAAAAAACAGTCAAGATTTAGGTGAACAGAAAACATACTGGAATCTTATGTAGCAAATAAAAAGGAATAACTGAACAGATGAGGGAATGAGATGGCTCTTTGTGCTGGAATGAAAAGATGAAGTATCTGTTGCCTCCTAGTTCTATGATATTTTATTCCCTTTATATATAATTAAATAATGGCAGTTTCTATAAACTCTCTAATAATATGCCAAAAACTGATAATCATTCTGTATACCTTTCTCTATGTAAGCACCATATCTAATTTATCTATAAGTCTTGCCGATTACACCTTTAAAATATAACACTAATATATCCATATTTCTCCAACTTTTCTATTACCACCGAGGAACAATGTATAGCCATGACTTCACTAATGCTAAAATAGTCTTTTTATTAGCCATCTCCTCCCTCTTGTACATATTGCCCCATGACCTCCAATCCATTCCTTATCTTACAGATAATTTGATTTGCCTTTAACATACATGTATATATGATTATGCCACTTTCTTGCTTCATATTCACTAATAGCTTTCTGTTACACTCCTTATTTGGTTCCTAAACCTCCTCAACTCAATACCACAAGTTCTAGCCACAATGGCTTTGTAATTAGTTCCTCAACAACACAAAACTTGATCTTGGTGCAAGATCAAAACTCTTAGTGCAATTCTCACTATGTATTAAGTTGTTGTTGAGAACTTCTCAGCATTCTGGCTTCTTCTCATTACTCTCCGTCTTCTGGTATCCACCTAAATGGCAGGAATCATATGACTATATCAACCAAATCAGTCCCTTTGTCCCTTCCCCCCATCATAGTAGCCTGTTTCATTTGTCATATCATTCTTTGAGAAACTGCAATTAAATAGGTTTACTGTTTTCCCTTACTAGACTAACATTCTGAAATGAAAAGTCCACAGGTATTTTGTTCACCACAGTACATGAAGTATACAGCAAAATCCCTGGCACATGGTTAGTGTTAAATGTCTTTTTATGGAGGAATGAATAAGAAGAAATGCTATGATGTGGTTTATTTTTTGTTGCTGTTATTGCTATCTTTAGTGATAATAGTGGCTTTTTGTTTGATTCTTTATGTCAAGTTTTTACAGTTAAGACTATTAAGTATTAGAGATATGAGGTAAATTGATCAATAAGTGGAAAATCCAGGATATAGTTCACTGTGTGAGGCTAATGTTACTGCTTCTACTAGTACATGATACTGTTTTCATATTCATCATATAATCAGGCAGCATACTGAAATGAGAAAATCACTGATCCGACAGCTCTGGATTTAAACAATGGCTCATCTATTCATTGACTGTGCCTGGTCCTCAGTTTTTTCATCTGTAAAATGGGGATAATAACTTTTATCTTGTGAACTTACTCTGAAGATTGAACAAAACCATAAATTTATACATACATACAAAACAACAGACATATACTGAAAATTAAATAAAATGTAGTCTTTTGTTTCCCAATGGTCATCCCCATATATTTGGCCTTCTTTCTTTGCCAAATTGTTAATTATCCTTCAGATTGTACATTTCCAATATTAATATTTTTATCACTGAATTACGATCATCACTGCTTAAATATAACTTTTATGAATCTCTTTTCTAAAGTGTCTGATGGATTTCATGCCCTATACTATTAATCCAATTAATTAGGTAATTCAATACTAGTTCATATCCTGAGTTAAAATAATCTATTTTCAAACAGACATCATTTCCCTTCCAATATGTTACATTGATTCTTCATAACATTTATGCAGGAAAATTTGGCAGCAGCTATAAACCACATGCACTCTTGAATGCTGCCCAAATTGACAACAATTTCAATTAACTGTCTAGACTGTGAGTGCGAGCAAAATGTGCAGGGTAGTGACAATTATAAAATAGAGATAGAAAGTAGTATTGATCTCAACTCGTGGGATCTACACAATCAAGAAAAGATAAATATAAAGTTAAAAGTATCCAGAGGAACAAGGTTTTCAGCTCCTCTGGATAATTATGTTAACACTGACAGATGGAAGCACATATATGATCTACACCTATGTGCCCAGTGTAATCTCATTAATATATTTGCACAGTGTTAGAAGAAGGTGTTAGAGTACTACTCAAAAACAATTTTTAAAATTACAGTAAAAATATGTTCAGGCCACTTGGAGTAATTGTTACTGCTGTAAAAGACAAAAACCAGCTATTTGAAAGTTTCTAATGAATAATAGAAAGATTACATGATTTTCAGAATGAGAAGTAAGATTACAATGTCACTGTTAACTGTCAGCAGGAAAAGCATATCCTTACTCCTATGTCCCTTGATGACTTCCAGCACAACAATACAACCAGAACAAAAAGATAATTACAATAAAAAGGCACTAATGGACTGCTTTTTAAAAATGAAGCGCCAAAACTCTCCATAAGGTGGAATGAAAATAACATGTGAATACAGCTTTCCACAAATTCATTCAACTTACAGTGCTTTATTTGAGGCTTTTTTTTTTGTAAGTGTGGTAAATACAAGTGTATTTGTTTGTTTTGAATTACTTGAGGCTGGGTAATTTATAAAGAAAAGAGGTTTCTTTGGCTCACCGTTCTGCAGGCTGCACAAGCATGGTACCAGCATATGCTCAGCTTCTGGAGAGGCCACAGGATATTTTACTCATGGCAAAGGGGCGGGGAGGCGGGGGGCAGATGTGTCATATGGCAAGAGAGAGAGTGAGAGAGAGAGGAGGAGATGCCAAGCTCCTTTAAACAACCAGCTGTCTTGTCAACTGAGGGAGTAAGAACTCACTCATTACCGTGGGGAAGGCAAGAACTACTAAGAATTAAATAAAACTATATTTAGTCTGTTGTCTTTCTCAATGGTCATCGACATACATTTGGTGGGCTGGTGGAAGCTGTTTGGGTCATGGGGGTGGATTCCTCATAAATGGCTTGGTATGGGGGATCCACCCCCACGGCCCATACACATTCTACCAGGCCCCACGTCCAACACTGGAGATCACATTTCAACGTGAGATTTGGAGGGGACAAATATTCGAACCATATCGGCAAGTGTATCATTTTAAGCTTTTGAAAAAAAATGACAAAAAAAAGGTCCAACTTTTTCTAAGATCATTAATATTCTTATGTAATAATAGGCTTCTTAGGACAATTTAGATAAAATTTGACTCTGGTGATAGAAGAATACGAAAAAAACCAGAATAATTAATTCTACCTTTAAAATTTATTATTATGTTGCAGAGTGTCTTCACTGCTCTTTCATGTGTTTTGCAGAAAAAAGCAATCAAATATTTGTTTTTATGATGAACTATTTTTAAACCTTTTAGTTAATTATGCATCTTTTTTTAGGGAAGATAATGTCAAGATCTCAATGGTTGTCTTTAGCTAAACATAGATTCCCTTTGAGATTGTAATAACATAACAAAATTGTATTATTACTTACAAATAAATGAAATTTTTGCCTGGGGTTATGTTTGGTTTATTTATTTCCTTATTAATTCTTTGATTCGTTATTATATAACGTCAATGCTGGTATTACAATGAAATAAATTAGTTTCTCTGTGGAAAATTACCTTGGAACAGAACCAAACAAAAGTTTCCAAGTAATCTATCTGTCACCAGATGTCTATAAGTCACTTTGAGATTCTTGAAAGGAAGATGTTAGGCAAGTAATATAATTTCTTGAAAAAAAGTCTTAATTAAATTAGACCTTCTGGCATGATGAAAAGTACTGCATGAAAAATTTAACTGAAGATAGAGGTAAATTTTATCCTCAATTTATCAACACTATATGAGGTTCAGACACATGATAAAAATGCTGTCATGATATTCAACACTTTGAAAATCAACATTTTTGACACATCATTCTAAAAGCTGGAGGGGACCAAGGGAGAGGGAAGGAGATGCCAGGCTCCAGTCCTCTGGGTACCCAGAACTGAAGCCAGAGCTAAATTTGGTACCTGAGCTGATAAAGGTGCTTTCTAAAAGAGCAGTGGTTTGTATACATGTCTCATTTCTCTTTAAGTAGCACAATAGAGAAACTATTCAGAAGGAGAAAAAAAAACAGCAGGCTAATGTGAAGCAGAGTTATCTATGACCTTCTTATTCTTTTACAAGTGAGTATGACAGCTTTGAGCACCCTAATTTGTTTAATGAGTCAGTAAATAAGCTCAAATTAAACAAAAATAAATAAATTGAATACATTCATATTTTTGTTACAAGTCTGTTCACGAGGGAGATTTCAACTGCTACGATCTTATTTAAATCAATTGATATTAATTGGGGGTTTAAAAAATTTAAGTCAATGACCTGGGCCCTGCTGGAAATCTTTGGGGAGGCAAATTTCTAGCTACTTTGCAGAGACCAGTCTTTTAAGTGGGGAGTAAATTTGCAGGATGGCAGAATAAGTGGCCCCAACCTATATTACATTGTTACAAGAATCACCTTGACCTAAAGACACTTGAGAAACAGTAGATGTAAGAAGGGCATTTGAGTCTCCCCCTTTTCTCCCTGAAAACAGGAGATAAACTCCCATGTGAAAGATGCCCTCCCTCTACAAGACAAATGAATCATTCTTTGATGGAGAGTCAGAACTGAGAGGATTCTGCACAGACTTTCTTAGAATAATTCTTCTTCTTTAAGCTTCCACATATAACTTACATTTCCTCAATTGCCTCCTTTAGTTTAACCTAACTCAAAAGCATGTAGATTCTGTCATTTATTTGGGTCTCAAGAACCCTCTTTATGAGGGCTCTTGTGTCACATAAAACTCATCTTAAATGTATGTGCTTTTCTCCTATTAATCTATCTGATGTCATCTTAATTCTCAGAGTCAGCTTGCACACTAAGAGGACAGAGATAAAATTTTGCTTCCCCTACAGGGTGCATAGAAGTGATGATGATATAAGGCAGAAAATATGTTTCATAAAATGAAAAAAATAAGTTGCATCTGTTGTAAGACATAACACACAGACACTGCCTCAAGGAGAGGGAAGGCTCAAACGTGAAGGAATTAATAGGATAGTTGAGTGTTCACACAGATACTTCATCTTCAGAATTGAATTGTAAAGCTAAAGAATGGAATGGAAGATACGGAAAGTCAAATATTCAGATAATATTTATGGAATTGTAACCCAATAGTTTTTACCACATGCTTCCAAACCTTCATATTAATTCTTCCTTTTAAAAATTACATTTCCTGTTTTCTTTGATAGGCTCAGCTACTTGACTTAAATTTATTTTTTCATAATTAAAAAAGCAAGAATCAAGAAAGAAATCTTTTATTGGAAGATAGTAAAATAATAATAATCAGCTGGATAGAGATTCATGAATTAGAATTATCTAAAATGTCTATTTTCTTTTCTTTATGAATATATTTCTCATTTTACAATCTGTGACTCAAAAGTGATACTTACTTTGCTCTTCCTCAACACTGAGTCTTTCCTCTATCCTTTTCAAATATCTTTATATTTAATCCATTAATATGCCTATCATTTTTATTCCCTTTGAGAAATAATCTTCACTATCTCAAATGGAGAGAGTAAATGAATATGTGGGTCTATGTGTGTGTGTGTGAATGTATGAAATAGATTGTGGAATTGTTTCTAGGGGAAAATGACACTTTTAGAGATTATGGCTTTCTAAAAATTGTTTCTGGGAATAAAGATGTATCAGAGTGGCTTTAAATTCCATTTTATCGGTCTCAGTGCTGAAAGTTATACAAATCAATAATCAGTAATACATAAATAAAATTAACATGAATTAATGAAGAGTCCTCCAGTAATTTAGAGTGATTTATTTTGTCCTTTGCTGGAAAACATTTTCAGTGTAACATTCCTTCAAATGCAAATGGAACATTATTTTCTTGACAGAAGCCATAAGCCTCCAATATAGAAAAAATTGCAGCAAAATTTGTGCAAGATTTTTCATAAAGAAATATTTCCATATGTAGTTGAAATCCTAATGTGACCTATGCCACAAAAGACTGGAAACAATACAAATTTATATTACCGAGACTGACTAATAAAATACAGTATGTAAACACAATAGATTGCTATGTAGTCATTAAATGGGCAGAAAAAAATGGTTTTGATGCAAAAGCTTGTCACTCATGAGCCATTGCAGTACATATGCTATTTGCACTGTGTAAAATACAGGTAAATATGATATGTAAATATTATGTCTTAAAAATTCTTAGTAATTCTTATTGCTCTAGGACAAGGCATCTATTTCTTTAAGGGAGGCATTAATAAGCCATTAAAAAATTATTTAGCATTTGTCCTTCAAATTTGGATTTTGAAAAACATTAGCTATGAAAACGTATGTCTTTCTATGCAAAAGTGAGGCTTTTCTTTTTTATTTTTTCCTATTATGGGAAAAGGTGTTGATATGGTTTGGCTCTGTGTCCCCACCCAAATCTCATCTCTAATTGTAATCCCCATGTGTTGAGGGAGGGAACTGTTGCCAGGTGATTGGATCATGGGGTCAGTCTCCTCCATGCTGTTCTCATGATAGTGAGTGAGTTCTCATGAGATCTGATGCTTTACAAGTGTTTGGCATTTCCCTCTGTCCTCTCATTCTCCGGCTCCCTTATGAAAAAGGTGTTTGCTTCCCCTTCACCTTCTGCCGTGATTGTAAGTTTCCTGTGGTTTCCTCAGCCATAAGGAAGTGTGAGTCAATTAAGTTTCTTCCCTTTATAACTTACCCAGACTCAGGGAAGTTCTTTATAGCACTGTGAGAATGGACTAATACAGAGGTTTATGGAATTATAGCCACAAAGCTTGGATTAGTCAGAACCTAGATTATTTTCCCCCAAAGGCCATAGAATTGAAAGAATTCAGATATTTTTATGAGGACAGGTTTCTGCTTCAAAGATAACAGGAAGGAGTTGTGTTTTTTTGTTTTTTTGTTTTGTTTTGTTTTGTTTTGTTTTTTTAAAAGACTCTCACTCTGTAGCCCAAGCTGGAAGGCAGTGGCAGGATCTCTGCTCATTGCAACCTCCACCTCCCAAGCTCAAATGATTCTCCTGCCTCACTGCTCAAGTTGCTGGGATTACAAGAACCTGCCATCACACCCAGCTAATTTTTTGTATTTTAGTAGATACGGGGTTTCACCATGTTGCCCAGGGTAGCCTCGAACTCCTGAGCTCAGGCTATCCACTTGCCTCGGCCTCCCAAAGTGCTGGGATTACAGGCGTGAGCCACCATGCCCAGGAAAAAGCAGATTTTTTAAAGAGGACAAAAAAGCCTCCTGGTCTGGGGAAAGAACTTAATCATAGGGATAGGAGAGCACAAGAGGGAGGCTGCACCCTGTGCCCTGCACCCCACATGCACCCTGCCTGGCACTCAGGGAGAGTGAACCTGCTGGGAGGGTGCATGCTGAGTGGGGGCCCTCCATAGAGCCTTGGAGGACCTAAATGAGAGGTCACAACATAATTTTTATAATGTTTTAAATAGTATGAAAGTTTATGATGTAATGTACTTTGCTATTCCAACCTGAAAATATATTTCATAACATAATGTCACCTATTATTTTGATTTTATTGAACTGAAGGAAACTAGTAAGTTTATGAACGTACGATTGGAACCATTTTTAGGTGGATAATTAACAAAAGAAATAGCAAAATACCCTAGTATAATATTGTCTCTTAGATAAAATCTATAAATCATGCTCTTTTGGGACCATGAAATTCAGGTAACTTGAACTGAAATGTATTGTATAACAACATCTAGGTGATATACTCTTGCAAATAGTATTTTGTTTCCTACTTGTATAACAAGAGCTGATAAATTCTTTCTTCCTATGCTCAATCATTAAAAACAAATCCTTCTAAATTTCAGAGCATGCAGAATTTGCAGGGGTATACGCCATTAAATCATGTAAATGATATGCAAACTACTGTTAAAATAATTGCATCATTTTTAATATACTGGAATCATCTGCAAATTCCAAAGATTTAGACATAAGAATTATGGAGAGGGTTACAGGAAAGATGTGAGGATTAAACAGGGGTTTAATGAAGTTGGCCACTCTTTTCAAGGAATGAAATTGAGACTGAAATGGCAACCAATTCACATTATCTACATGCTGTCAATTGAGGTTATCAAAACCAGTAAAAAGTACAAAAAAAAATCAAAATCTAGCAGACGTTATCTTGCCATGAAACAATTGAGTGATTTATAGATGACATGACAGATTGATTTTTTTAGAAATTAAATTCATTGACAGTTTAAACTATGTCAGTTTAGGCACTGCCTTCAGTGAGTACAGGCCGCTCACACTCATTTGAAAGCATACTGTGAGTTAAGTAACAAACACTAGATTTAATCCTTCAGATTACATTACACTAAATTATGTCATCCAGAACAATTTCCCTAATGTCCGTTGCTAAATTAAATGTGTTGTCAAGAAACTAATGAGATAAACTTGAACCTTTAGAACCGAAAATGAATTAAATCTCCAAACCAACTTGAAACACTACTGGATTTTTAAACAGCACAGCAAAATATAAGAAATAAAAATTGAAGAACATATTTTTCCATATAATTACAGTAATGAATATAATTCCCATATCAACCGCCTATAAATTTACACATCTCACCCTCCCAATACAGAATAAAAAAATGTAAACTAAAATTTCTAGCATGAACAAAGTTCTGTATATGCATTAACAGGGTACACATGATTGTATTTTTCTATTTATCTCTATATCATTTTATTCAGAAAAATATTTGTAGCCTTTTATCTTTCAAGATATATCTATTAAAGACTATTTAATACTCTCCTTTTGTGAATAGTAGCTTGAACCATCAAAATTCAAACTGCAAATTTGTCTCACCACCTTTGATTCTACTTCATTTTTGAGTTGGTACTACCAACAGTTCATAGTTGGAGTTAGAAAATTTTTTAAAAGAAGATGACTACAGAGGGAAAATGTGTAGATAAAAGAGAACAAGAGACTAATAAGTAGTTTTTGATAAGTGAAGAGAGTTAACATAAGTGGTGGGGGATACATTTGAAGCCCAGAGCATCTAATAAACTAAGAAAAATGAATAATAAAATATTTGAATAAAAACCAAATTATATGTAATGTTGATGACTAAAATGTAAAATGACCCAAGCATGACATGTTTTATCACTTTATATGTATATTTTATCACTTTATATATAGTGATAAATACATATCATTTTATATATACACATGTACACACATATGTGTGTGTATATATGTGTGTGTGTGTGTATATATATATATGAAAGCTTGTTACAAAAAGATTAAAAGTGAATTTTGTGAAAGTTTAACACAATGTAAAAAACATTTATAGTAGACATAATTATGACAGTAAAGGAGAAACATTATGACTGTACTACATTTGGACACTTTCTCCCATAAACTGTTACATTAAATAAGCAGGAGGCCCTTAACCTGTTGACTCTGTACTTTGAATTCCTACATAACAAACTGCAATCTAACATAGTTTAGTTCAAACTAAGAATATAGCAAACAGCCAGATTTCAGCCAGTTGCAAGCAATGCACTCATCACACCAGCCCCAAATAAGGGAGATGCCCAGCTGTAGCCACTCAGGTGATTTCTCTTCTGTGCTCCTGTATCTGGCCCATAAAAGCTCACTGCTCTCACTGCTGGGTGGAGCTCTCTGAACCCCTTCTGCTTCTGAGTACTGCCTGATTCATAAATAGTTCTTTGCTCAAATAAACTGTGCTAAATTTAATTTGTCTAAAGTTTTTCTTTTAACAAGTATCAAGAATATAGTAAGAAAAAATACACTGAAAACTTTGTACATTTCTTTCACAGATGATGGATCCTAAAAGATTTTAAACATCACCCCGGAAGAACCCAGTAAGAGGTATGCTACCTGGGTCTTTGTCAGACAAAATTGTAAGTATTAAGTTTTGGGGAAATGTCCTTAAATAAAGCAATAGTTATAACAAGCTTGAGTACTGTTTCAAATATGTTTTATCACAACCTAGAGTAAGAAATACTCTGTACCTCGCAACACAGAACATTTACATATATGTATAAATATTGAACTATTACATGTGCAAGTGTCAATTCTGTTTCATTTCATCCCATTCAATTCTATCCTGGGCCTATTCTCTCCTATCTCATTCCACTTTACTCTATTACACTTAGAATAAGTTCTGGCCACAGTCCAGCTCATGGATTAAGTAACTCACTAATGGGTCATGATTGTAGTATGGAAAACCCTGGGCTGGGCGCAGTGGCTCAGGCCTGTAATCCCAGCACTTTGGGAGGCTGAGGCGGGCAGATCACGAGGTCAAGAGATCAAGACCATCCTGGCTAACACAGTGAAACCTCATCTCTACTAAAAAATACAAAATTTAGCCGGGCGTGGGAGCGGGCGCCTCTAGTCCCAGCTACTCGGGAGGCTGAGGCAGGAGAATGGCGTGAACCCAGGAGGCGGAACTTGCAGTGAGTGGAGATCGCATCACTGCACTCCAACCTGGGCCACAGAGCGAGACTCTGTCTCAAAAAAAAAAAAGAAAAAAAGAAAAACCCTGAACTAGACTGATGATGCACAGATGATCACCATTACAATACACTAAATATAAAAATGATGTAAAATTTTCTCTACTTTGGTTCTCTAAAGCTTAAGCTTCCCGAAAGCCTATAATTACTCTATTTTTGTATTTTTACTAGTAGGTTTACACAGTAAAAAAATGTTATTTTTTAACCTAAAAAACTATATAAATTAGTGTTAGCCATGACAGAAAATCATCAAATGTAAATTTTATATGATTCATAAAAACTACCTAAAACATCCCTGTCCAGGTGTTCTCCAGTTTCTCTTTATAAATAAACTTGGTGAGGGAGAATTCAGGCACTGAGCTTATTTAAAAAGAGAGACCGGAAAATTGAGTATGTTAGTCAACTGATTGTTTTTCAGGACACGTTTAATTTAGACTAGATATAACCAGATCCCAATTTAAAACCTTGAAAATAACAAATAAATGCCACTGTAAAACACCCAAAATAGTAAAATTCAAATTTTATTGTTAGCAATTTAAGATCTCCATAAGCCTTATCTTTGTCTATTTTTACATGTCCTCAGCATTGTCCTTAAGGAACTTAAAAATTTAGTTGGAAAGTTACAGCAAAATTACCTTTAGGTTGTTCTCTGCTATTTCCCAGCTATATAAAATAGCCATTTCTTTTCTGAGTTTTCACATTCCTTTAATATAATTTGATGTATTTGTAGTAAGAAAAAAGGGGTAATTCAGATATTAGGAAGAGAAAAAAATCTTAATATAAAACACAATACTATGAAATATAGGATAATTGTTATTACTACTAAATTTTGAGAGAAAGAAAGAATCAGTTTAAGCTTCCCTTGATGGTCTTCAATTTTGTTCCCTAAAGCATTTCTGAAGGCAAAGAAAGTAAAAGTAAGTATTAATTATTGTCAACATATGTGTTTATACTTAGCATATTCATATTTATTTTTTCAAATCAAATGTATGATACAACAAAATTGAACTTACATGTGTGATTTGATAATATGTGCAACATTAGGGTCCCTGGGAACATAAATATGTACACTGCCTTTATGCCATTTTATAATGTTTAGAGGATTATTTTACTGTTCAAAATTATCACGTTTCATTTATCTGTACTTTTATTATGTCTCATTAGTCATAGCTATGATTTATTTAAGCTATGTCCTTGGTCAGAAAATTTTATCTGCCTTAAAATGTTGAGATTTATAATGCCGTCTTCAGAAATGTATTTTGGCAAAAACCCAGGGCTTCTTGTTTCTAAGCTTTGCACAGTCCTAACCATAAATACACTTGAAATTCAGAGAACAGAGAACTAAATGTGGAGTGGTAATCCAGGGAAAATGTCCAGTTAGGGCAATGGCTTTAGCTGAGACGTCAAGAAAGAGTAGTATTTAGCTAGACTGAAATGCAAAGAGATAGGAAAACAATAGACATGGAAATAAAGTAGGGTGGGAATATTATAAATCCCTCTGTGGTTGGGAAAGATAGTGCATGTTGAAGAAGATGGAAAAGTAAGTTTTTATAATTTTTTGTGTGTTTATGTGTGTGTGTGTGTGTGTGTGTGTGCCTTTAAAATGGAAAAATTACAGTCACAGATGTGGATTTATTTCACTATCACAATACGTTAAGAGGCAGATAAAATAGATATTATTTCCCTGTTACAACTAAAAGTCATGAAGTCCAGAGACCTCTTTGAGTTTCCATTTTTCTGAGAAAAATGGAAATAGTCTATTAAATGAGAGATGAAAAGCTAACTTCATGCCTTTTCATATATCCAACAGATATTTATGGAGCAAAACTATGTGCCATGCACTATTCTAGATACTTAGAAAAACTTGACAATAAAATAACCAAAAATATCTACTTTGGTGAAGCTTATATTTTATAACGAAAGACATAACAACCATAATTAAAAGGTAAATGATATGGTATGTTATACAAGGTCTTTGGAGGAAAGAAATAGAGCAGAATTAATTTGGGAGATAGGGGTTGAATAGAGCCCATTGCATTTTAAAACAGTTTACTCAAGGCAAGCCCTGTAGAAAGAACGGAATTAGAACTGGGACTCAAAGGAGTCCATGAAGATATTTGAAGCAAAAACATTCCAGTAGCCAGAAAGTCCAGTATAGAGGTCCTAAGGCAGAAACAATCCTGGCATATTCCAAGGGCAGCAAAGATGACCAGATTGATTGTGATGAAAACAGGGAGGCAATACTAGAGAAATACAGAAAAGTAACAAGAGTGGAAATAGGTCAGGCAGCCTATGCAGTGTTTTGTACTCATTCAAAAGACTTTATCTTTTATTCAGTAAAAAGTAGAGTCAATGAAGGATTTTAAAGAGCGGGATAACTCTTTATGTAGGAAGTTTTGTGTAGGAAGAATAAATAAGAGTCTGTTAAAGTAATTCAGGAAACAAATGATGGGTGCTCATGAAGGGTAATAGCCACCGAGGTCATGTGAAATGAACAGAGTATATGTAATAATTTTAAGATGGACTGAAAGCATTCCTTAACAATTCCGATGGGGAGTAAGCAGAAAAAGAGAAAAAGATAACACCAATATTTGGCCTAAGCAAATTAACAAGAAAGTAAGGAGAGGTGGAAAAGCAGTTGAGCTGCAGAAAATAGGAAGAGAACATGTTTTATGGAAAATCGAAGAAATCTAGTTTTCTCTTTTAGATGTCCAAGTGAACACATGAACCTGGAGATCAACAGGGCAATATGTTGGTATACTCTATATATTAGTCCATTTTCACACCGTTATAAAGAACTACCTGACACTGAGTAATTTATAAAGAAATCCCTGGGATGCAAGGCTGGTTCAACATATGCAAATCAATAAACGTAATCCAGCATATAAACAGAATCAAAGACAAAAAGCACATGATTATCTCAATAGATGCAGAAAAGGCCTTTGACAAAATTCAACAACCTTCATGCTAAAAACTCTCAATAAATTAGGTATTGATGGGATGTATCTCAAAATAATAAGAGCTATCTATGACAAACCCACAGCCAATATCATACTGAATGGGCAAAAACTGGAAGCATTCCCTTTGAAAACTGGCACAAGACACGGATGCCCTCTCTCACCACTCCTATTCAACATAATGTTGGAAGTTCTGGCCAGGGCAATCAGGCAGGAGGAAAAAAATAAAGGGTATTCAATTAGGAAAAGAAGAAGTCAAACTGTCCCTGTCTGCAGATGACATGACTGTATATCTAGAAAACCCCACTGTCTCAGCCCAAAATCTCCTTAAGCTGATAAGCAACTTCAGCAAAGTCTCAGGATACAAAATCAATGAGCAAAAATGACAGGCATTCTTATACACCAAGAGCAGACAAACAGAGAACCAAATCATGAGTGAACTCCCATTCACAATTGCTTCAAAGAGAATAAAATACCTAGGAATCCAACTTACAAGGGATTTGAAGGACCTTTTCAAGGAGAACTACAAACCACGCTCAACGAAATAAAAGAGGACACAAACAAATGGAAACACATTCCATGCTCATGTACAGGAAGAATCAATATCGTGAAAATGGCCATACTGCCCAAGGTAATTTATAGATTCAATGCCATCCCATCAAGCTACCAATGCCTTTCTTCACAGAATTGGAAAAAACTACTTTAAAGTTCATATGGAACCAAAAAAGGGCCCGCATTGCCAAGACAATCCTAAGCCAAAAGAACAAAGTGGGAGGCATCACACTACCTGACTTCAAACTATACTACAAGGCTTCAGTAACCAAAACAGCATGGTACTGGTACCAAAACAGAGATATAGACCAATGGAACAGAACAGAGCCCTCCAAATAATACCACACATCTACAACCATCTGATCTTTGACAAACCTGACAAAAACAAGAAATGGGGAAAGGATTCCCTATTTAATAAATGGTGCTGGGAAAACTGGCTAGCCATATGTAGAAAGCTGAAACTGGATCCCTTCCTTACACCTTATACAAAAATTAATTCAAGATGGATTAAAGACTTAAATGTTAGACCTAAAACCATAAAAACCCTAGAAGAAAACCTAGGCAATACCATTCAGGTCATAGGCATGGAGAAGGACTTCATGTCTAAAACACCAAAAGCAATGGCAACAAAAGCCAAAATTGACAAATGGGATCTAATTAAACTAAAGAGCTTCTGCACAGCAAAAGAAACTACCATCAGAGTGAACAGGCAACCTACAGAATGGGAGAAAATTTTTGCAACCTACTTATCTGACAAAGGGCTAATATCCAGAATCTACGAAGAACTCAAAAAAATTTATGAGAAAAAACAAACAACCCCATCAACAAGTGGGCAAAGGATACGAACAGACACTTCTCAAAAGAAGACATTTCTGCAGCCAACAGACACATGAAAAAATGCTCATCATCACTTGCCATCAGAGAAATGCAAATCAAAACCACAATGAGATACCATCTCACACCAGTTAGAACGGCGATCATTAAAAAGTCAGGAAACAACAGGTGCTGGAAAGGATGTGGAGAAATAGGAACACTTTTACACTGTTGGTGGGACTGTAAACTAGTTGAACCATTGTGGAAGACAGTGTGGTGGTTCCTCAAGGATCTAGAATTAGAAATACCATTTGACCCAGCCATCCCATTACTGGGTATATACCCAAAGGATTATAAATCATGCTGCTGTAAAGACACATGCATGCATATGTTTATTGCAGCGCTATTGACAATAGCAAAGACTTGGAACCAACCCCAATGTCCATCAATGATAGATTGGATTAAGAAAATGTGGCACATATACACCATGGAATACTATGCAGCCATAAAAATGATGAGCTCATGTCCTTTGTAGGGACATGGATGAAGCTGGAAACCATCATTCTCAGCAAACTATCACAAGGACAAAAAACCAAAACCGCATGTTCTCACTCATAGGTGGGAATTGAACAATGAGAACACTTGGACACAGGAAGGGGAACATCACACACTGGGGCCTGTTGTGGGGTGGGGGGAGGGGGGAGGGATAGCATTAGGAGATATACCTAATGTAAATGACAAGTTAACGGGTGCAGCACACCAACATGGCACATGTATACATATGTAACAAACCTGCACGTTGTGCACATGTACCATAGAACTTAAAGTATAATAAAAAAATAAATAAAAAATAAAGATTCCTTGGGAAGCACAAAAAAAATAAAAATAAAATAAAATAAAATACAAACTCAAAACAAAAAAAGAAAATAGGTTTAATTGACTCCCAGTTCTGCATGCTTAACAAGAAGCATGACCGGAACGCCTCAAGAAAATTACAATCATGGCAGAAGGTGAAGGGGAGGCTTATACATCTTCACAATGGAGAGCAAGAGACTGAGAGAGAGTGAAGTGGGGAAGTGCTACACTTTTACACCAGCAGATCTCTTAAACACTCAGTCAGTATCAGGAAGACAGCATGGGGGAAACCCACTCCCATGATCCCATCACCTCCCACCAGTTCTCTCCCCTGACAAGTTGGGATTACAATTTGACCTGAGATTTGGTTGGGGACGCAGAGCCAAATCATATAGACTTCTGTCTATAGACTAAGTGGAGTCTCTCCTCTGTCATACACTTATATCTATAGAATAAGTAGGATCTCTCCCCAAACCATACAGACTTATGGTTTGGCTCTGTGTCCCCGCCAAGTCTATATATCTATGGCCTATTTGTGCTCTACAGATACAAATTTTAAGATCTAAACTATTGTATAAATGATGTTTAGAGACCTAAGACTAGATGAGGTCATCAGATAAGTTTGTATAGGTAGAAAAAAGAAGAGGTACCAAGATTCAGCCCTCCAATGAGAAGAGGTTCATGGGAGAAGCTAGGAAAGGTAACTTACATTGATTAATTGATGAATTTGCACGGAAACCTTGAGTATGTGTTGTCCTGACAGCCAAATAAACAGAATGTATCAAGGAGGAGGTAGTGAGTAACTGTTAAATGTGGCTGACAAGACACCTACTGAGAACTGATCATTAGATGCCACAACATGGGAGCCTTCTATGAGTTTCTTGGGGTCAGGACTATGTTCTTATTTGTTTCTTTTTCCTGTAATCTGGCCCAGAGTTTGAAAAATGTGAGGTCTGATTCCAAGTGTGATATTCTTCAATTCTCTAGCTGAGAGTGTTACCAGCATCCAGAGAAGCCCAATTAATTAGACTACACAAAATTTAAATAACAAAAAACAAGAACTAGATGTCACCTGAAAGAGTGTTGCTGTTTATGATTTTTCATCTTCTTTTATTCTTGTTTGTTTTGAAAATAAAATGTTTACTCATTCAAGATGTTTTAGAAGCCAGCTTAAAAAGTGATTAGAAAATAATTTAGGTTACTGCTCAAAGCTAGCAAGTGCCTTGGGTGACACATTAAGGATGACACAATGACATTAAGTGAGAATGGTGTAAAAATTGTATATGAGGAAACCAGAAGACTAAGGGTGCCAATAATAAATCAAAATAAATTTCACTGATGTTATTAGTGGCTTCCAGTTATTTTTGAAATTCAAAATATAGTTAGTTCAATAAAATGACAATTCATTTTTTAATATCAGTAACCTGGGTGGAGAACTGAATAAAAGCAGGTAATGCCCTAAAGCTCCTCCTTTGTTCAAGCAAAACTCCATGTATCTATTGATATTTTCAGTAGCAGAGATGAAAGAACATGTCTGTAGTGAAAAGGTCCTGGCTTTTCTGATACCTTGGAGGGCAGAATTCTCTCCAGGAACATACCAAAACAAGCACCACCCTCATGGGTCTAATTAGAAAACAATTCAGTCGCTTTGAACTTATCAGTGTATTACCATGAAGTATTTTTTAAGATTTAAAAGCACATATACATCGGAAGGCATAATAACGAAATAACCAATCAAGATGAATATAACACCAATGCAAAGAAAAGTTAGAAATTCAAATCAAGCTTGCAAAACAAATTAAGTAGCAGGAAAGCAACATTCATAACACATTAGTTTGCACCAAAACAAAATTAATAAAGAGAAAGTGCATAAATAGTACTTGAATATTTTTGTAATTAAAAGGAACATCTCTTTGCGTGAAGCAAAAAGCATCCAGAGAAGCAGGCAAGCATCCCGCTGTTGAACACATAACAAGAGAAGAGGCAGACATCTCTGACCTCTGTTGTTTTTCTGGATAATAGGAAAAATTAATATATCCCGTGAAAAGGACAGGAGGGGAAAAAATTACTTCATGTGTTTGTAGGCAGAGACTTCAAATTTTTATTCAAAATCTATTATTAATCTTTCCTTTTATTAGGATCTTAGCTAGAGGTTACATTTTCCAGGTTTCTTTGTAGCTTCAAGTGGCCAATGAGTTATGAACAAAAGTAAGTAATGTTTATAATTTTTAACCCCTTTTCCTTGAGGAAGCTGCTTGTCTTTCATGCATTTTCCGCCTCCCTGCAGTTGAGATGTCACCGGGGTGCTGGGAGACAGATTTCTCATGTAGAAAGTCAATAATTTAGACCATAGCTGTGCAACAAGATGAAAAGAACCTGCTTCTAACTAGCCTTCTGGAACAGAACTTCTTGCCCACCTGGACTGTACTCAATACCCACTTCTGGACTTTTCTGTGAGGGAGAAATAAACTATTTTGTTAGGACACTGAAATTTTGTGTTGCTTTGTGACTGTAGCTTAGCGTAAACCCTAACTGATTCAGGTATAAAGTCCTAACGTAGTTTCTAGCAGATAAAACACACTTTTATTTGCATTTTATTCAACATCTATTTAATAAACATTTACTATGTGCCGCAATACTATTTGCCTCTGTCGTCCTTAAAAGATTCAACAAGTTTAATATATGCATATTTAATTTCTGCAGGGTCAATGCAGACACATGTACAGCAATATTTTCATTAATAGCTTATCATATAAGATTTAACAAAGCCAAAATAAACTACTGAAGGTCCCTCTCTGTTGAAAGCCTTAGGAATCCCCCAATAACAATGTTTATAATGCCAAGAAAGTGATGTCTTTATGGTTCTAATGTTTCCTCGGCCAACTTAGTTATCATCAAATCAAATTTTTTGGCAGTTTAGAAAGTAAAATTCATCGACTTTCAAATACATTTACCAATAGAAGAGCTGAATAAAGATTATTAATAGGGTTCATTGCAGTATATACCAAGAAGCGCAATAATTTTTTCTATGCATGTCCATAAGAGCAAAGGAATTGTAAAGAAACATAAATATCACTCCCCAATTTTATTATTATTATTTTTTTTTTTTTTTTTTTTTTTTTTTTTTTTTGAGACGGAGTCTCGCTCTGTCGCCCAGGCTGGAGTGCAGTTGTGTGATCTCGGCTCACTGAAACCTCCGCCTCCCGGGGTCAAGTAATTCTCCTACCTCAGCCTCCCAAGTAACTGGCACTACAGATGTGCGCCACCACACCCAGCTAATTTTTGTATTTTTAGTAGAGACGGGGTTTCACCATGTTGGCCAGGCTGCTCTTGAACTCCTGACCTCAGGAGATCCACCCGCCATAGCCTCCCAAAGTGCTGGGATTACAGGCATGAGCCACCACACCGGGCTATCACTCCCCAAATTTCTGACCTCAATCTTTCTAAAAGTGAGGGTACACAAAAGGTATAGATCGTCCTTGATATTTAGAATTATTCTTCCTTAGATATGGTCATTCACCACACATGAATTTCTTAGGTATAATCTTCTGTTAGTCATTTTTTTTAATATTTAAAGGTAGTTGTTTTAATATGTGTCTTAATAAACATACATGTTTCCCCTGTTGTCATCTTATTTGACAGTTAAACTGATAATACTGTGGTTGCAATATAATACATTGCTATTGAAATTTGCTCACTGTGTTCAGTGTTCCATAACTTAAAGATAAGTTATTCTTATTTTAGTAGCATTACAACATTTTTTAACATACTACAATAAATCTTCATTAAATTGCATATTTTGAAATCTTTATAACTGATTACTGTTTTCTTTCCATGGATCATCTAGTGACATTTTTCAGAAGCAGCTTCTGTTGTGTGGCCACTTGGTTCAAACGACAGTCCTTTTAGAAGGAAAACAGACAAATTGTATTCTCACGTAACTTATGATCAAGACTGCAGAATATATATTTTATGATACATTGTTTTACCATATATATAGTGTCCTTACTCTCCTATGAGCATTACATGGCTAGACTATATGGAAGGGAAAATACAGCTGAGATTTCATACCTAGAGGACATTTATCAATATCTGAACATTATTTCAAAAGTAGTGTTTTGTTGTTGTTGTTGTTTTTGTTTTGTTTATTTTGTAGAAGACAGGGTCTCACTAGGTTTCCCAGGCTGGTCTTGAACTCCTGGAATTAAGTAATTCTCCCACCTTGGCCTCCCAAAGTGCTGGGATTAAAGGCATGAGCCAGCACACCTGGCTAGAAGTGAACAGTGTAAGAATTCTCCCCCAAGTTTGAATTCTGGAGTTTACTATATATTCCGACCCCATTAGTGACACAGATATATTACAACTTGGTTCAGTAAGTTTCAGATGACATTAAAAGCAGCAGAATTACCATCACCTTAAAAGGTCAAATGAGAATTCATGATAATCTGGACTACTTGGAAAATGGATTACATTAATTAATTTACTAATTAATTTAGACAGCAAAGTTTCATCCAAGGCCAAACTCCATTTGCAAAGAAAAAGGGGCAGTCGCATACTGTCGCTAGGGCAGACATATGAGGAATAGTGGCTTTTATCCTAAAATGCTGAATGGGAGTCCACAAAATGTCAAATGATTAACATAACACAGAGTTATATCTTCTTTGCTATCTCTCAGTCTTTTTGTTTTATATCATTTTTATTTTATTTTATGTTCTAAGATACTTGTGCACAATGGGCAGGTTTGTTACATAGGTAAACGTGTGTCATGGTGGTTTGCAGCAGCTACCAACCCACCACCTAGGTATTAAGCCCCGCATACATCAGCTATTTGTCCTGACGCTATCCCTCCCCCAACCCCCTCAACAGGCTCCTGTGTGTGTTGTTCCCCTCCCTGTATCCATGTGTTCTTACTGTTTAGTTCCCACTTTCTCTCTCCTCCTACTTTTAGAAAACACTGGCCTTAGGTTTAATATTTGTTCTTTGAACAAATATTTGAACTTTGTCTCTTCTAAATTCATCTGGTGAAGTTCTAAACCCTAGTTCTTCAGATTGTGAACTTACTTGAAAATGGGGTCATTGCAAGTGTAAATATTTAAGTAAAAATTAGGTCACACTGGAGTAGGGTGGGCCCCCACTCCAACATGACTGACTGGTGTCCTCATAAAAAGATGAAATTTGAACATGAAGATGAAGACACAGGGAAAATATCATGAAAAGATTGGAGCTTATGCTACCACAAGCCAAAAAATCAGAAAAATTGCTAGCAAATTCTAAGGCAGAAGCATAAAAGAGATCCTTCCTCACAGCCCTCAGAAGGAACCAAGGCTGCTGATATCTTGAATTTACATTTCTAGTCACCAGAACTGAGAGACCATCAATTCTATTGCTTAATCCACTTAGTTTGTGGTACTTTGTGATGGTAGCAAACTAATAAACTGGCTCATATTTATCTGTAGGTTGAGATAGCACGATTTACTGCTTCAGGATCTTATAAAGATGAAATGAAATAATGTTCACCTCACATGGTAAAAAAAGCACATGATAGTTGCCTTCCAAATAATAGGTCTCATTCTCTTAGCTAATCTCTTTAATCTTGAACCTAACATTTGGACAATAATCTTGTAATGCCATTTAGAAAATAACTGATTTACATTATGATACAAATTGTTAATACATTTACTAGTAAAATATGTATTCTTTGAAAATTATTTATTTGGAAGTGTGCAAGTTGCACATAAACTTTCTACTTTGATCTTGGTTGTACACGAAGACACCACACAGAACCTTTAGTTTACGTAGTACATCTTCTGTGGGTAAAATAACAATATATCTTTGGGATATATTAACACACAAATATGAAATTTGCCTTCAATTTGGAGGGACGGATCATCAGCTCCTCAAATCCATATATAGAATCCAGGTTGAGAACATCTAATACCTAATTTTCAATGCTGGATCATTTTTGATCCATTGTGTTTCTTCTTCCAACGTTTTTATTTACTTCAGTGGATTTTCCACTGTCCTATCCTCACAAAGTCTTATATTTAAAGTCCTCTAGCATCATAAGATAGAAAGATCCTGAAAACATTATTTACCATTTTCCTACTATGTGGTAATAATTCAAGAAATAATTTTTAGCAATATATGGTTATTCCTAATTTTAGATTTCAGCACTTTTTTTCCTATGAAATATTCTCATTTTAATTTCTGAATGATTGTCCTTGGATTAGGCGCATCATACACCCAGCTGATCTGTATAGGAAAAACATATTCAGTCTCAATGAATTACTTCATTTTTTTTTGACTGCAATCATGAATACGTCTGCTGACCTCAAAGTCCCATTTTAGGAAGCTGAAAAGGAAAGGCTCTGACGTTAACCTGGATGTCTATTGACTTATTTCAGGAGTATTAACATGTTTAAATGGAAAAGCCAATGTCTAGAAACTAATATAAATTAATTCCTTTATTGTATAATTTTAAGCTTCAGCTACATGTTTGGAGGATGTGAAGAATCTTTGATATTAGACCCACACATCACTATGTCCCAGTTTATCCCTATTATATTCCCAGTTAAGCATAGGCAGGCCTCATAGACAGTTCATCTTGCTGGTTAGAATAGTCCTAAATGTTATGCTAGAACATGAAATTAAGATTGCAGGTTTAATGCTACATTGGCCATTTAATTTCACAAAAAACCTTTTAAAAAATCCATTAACAAGGTGGGGGTTGCTGTTTGTACCAAATTCCAGCAAGTCATCTAAAAAAGATCCCATCTTGATCATGAAAAAGCTTGAACAAAAAATAAATATTGTATACATCTCTTAAAATTTGTCTTGAGTTTTAAAATTTTAATTTACCTATAAGGAAAGAAAATATTACAGCTGATAACCTCCCTCTAATCGGATTAGAGCACTGTGTTCTCCTGTTTCACCTAGATGTCAGGAAACTCACAACAAAACTCACAGCTAGAGAAAGCTTCTTAGAAATAGAAGCTAGATCCAAAAACTGTTTAAAAAATTTGCAAAAGTAATCATCTCAAGACAAACCTGCTACACCCAGGCCTACCCTCAAGTCCTCAAATATGAAACTAAGGAAGCAATAGGTTCCATGGATTGAAATTATTGTGTTTTCAAATGCAAGAGAGGAGCTCTTGTCAAATAGCTGATTAGGCAAAATTTCTATTAGCAAATGACAAGAGACAAAACAAGACAATGTAAAACAATATTTACTCGTCTAATATCAAACTGCTTTTCATTTTGGTTATCTCCTCATAACCTAAAAATTGAAAATGTCTGCTTTCACATCAAGGTCATTTATCTTTCCTGTAAATATGCAAACTTCTGACTTAAAATAAGAAAGTATATTTAAATCTTTCCTTGGCTACACAGCCTGGACCTTTTGGTGTGGTTCTCATAATTCCTAGCCACACTAAACTGAAAATATAGGTGGTGAATAAAAACCATCTGTACTTTTGCTGTTGTGATTCACCCCATTTCTGAGTCGTAATCAATTCCAAACTTATTTTCACTTAACACAGGATGTTTGCAAAAGAACCAGCTGTGTTTAATTTCCCTTAATTGCCCTACGAAGGAAAAAGAATTTGACCAGATTTGGGGAAAAATTTAATCTATCAGTAAGATTTTATTTCTTATTTTTGCAGAAAATTGAAGCCCCTATATCCAGGTAGTCATACCTGAAGTCCATCTTCAGTTGTGCATGTTCCAGATATATGGCAGCCTTCCAATACTTTGATTACTTCACTGTAGAATGGAGTTACTAAAAGTTTACTTCGTGTGATTTGCATATCAATAAATCACTTAGCTTAATGCCCACAAAAAGTTATAGGTGATCTTTTTAAAAATTGTTTTTAGTGACTAGTAGGTAAGATTAATGTAAAATACATTATCTAAATAATGTAAAAATAAAGAATAATGAATACAATTACTGAAATAATTATTTTTGCATTTATAATGTACAAACAGATCCATCAAAAATAACTTTATTTATGGAGCTCCTTTATACAGTCAGTAGTGGTCTAGATTCTGTGAGGGATATAAAAAGTGCATAAGATATCGGGAAGTAAATAGTCAGCAAGAGGCTTGCCATCCACTGTCCTCTTAGCCACTGGAAAGTGACTTGTTGGAATCTCTATGTATGCATGCAAATGAAAGACCTCTGGCAAACACATCCATGGTATTTGTCCAAAGGTGAATCCTTGTCTATGGAATGCTTTCAATGGGATGTGTCTGGTCTATTTAGGACTTTTTTAGGGTAAACAAAACTGAAATCTATGGGTTTATGAGCGTAACAATCTGGAAAATCATGTTAACTATTAATATGTAAAATTGAGATGCTTCATGACTCAAAGAGCTCCTTTTCATATAAATAATGCAGCCACATATATCTAGAATGTCCAATCTGAGTTAAAGAGCATGCTTCAAGCAAAGGCCTAAAGAGTGGTGTTTGCAGTTACTTGTGATGACTTGCATTTTGAAACTGTTTCTAAGTCTTGATGCTAGGTAAAATATCTGATTATTGTGTGCTAGGTCAAATACTTTGTATTATCTCAGATATATTAGGGAAAAAAATGTCTTTTCCCCATTCCTTGATTTCCATGAGGAAGGTTTTCCTTAAGCATTGTTAGTTTCTTGCCTCATCCCTTATTTACTTCTCCCTATGAAAGCAAAATGAATCTTTGCATTTGTGGGGTAACAGTATAGTATGCTCCTCATGTGGGCATACAAATTCATCAAAGTTATTTTTCACATGTGTTTTGATTTTTTTTTTTTGGTTTCTCTAGTGGGAATAAATCTGCTTATGTCTGCTCTGTGGAAAAATGCTTGCCTCTAGTGGGCTGTTCTAAGAGAGAGGCTTGGAGGAGAGAGATGGCAAAACACTTGGCTCTCAGGATTGGCTGCGATGGAGAGGATGTGGAGAAATAGGAAGATTTTTACACTGTTGGTGAGACTGTAAACTAGTTCAACCACTGTGGAAGACAGTGTGGCGATTCCTCAAGGATCTAGAACTAGAAATACCATTTGACCCAGCCATCCCATTACTGGGTATACACCCAAAGGATTATAAATCATGCTGCTATAAAGACACATGCACACGTATGTTTATTGCGGCACTATTCACAATAGCAAAGACTTGGAACCAACCCAAATGTCCAAAAATGATAGACTGGATTAAGAAAATGTGACACGTATATGCCATGGAATACTATGCAGCCATAAAAAAGATGAGTTCATGTCCTTTGTAGGGACATGGATGAAGCTGGAAACCATCATTCTGAGCAAACTGTCACAAGGACGGAAAACCAAACACCACGTGTTCTCACTCATAGGTGGGAATTGAACAATGAGAACACTTGGACACAGGATGGGGAACATCAGACACTGGGGCCTGTTGTGGGGTGGGGGGAGGGGAGAGGGATAGCATTAGGAGATATACCTAATGTAAATGACGAGTTAACGGATGCAGCACACCAATATGGCACATGTATACATATGTAACAAACCTGCACGTTGTGCACATGTAGCCTAGAACTTAAAGTATAATAAAAAAATAAAAATAAAAATAAATTTATATGTAATAAAAAAGAAAGGTGATTTCCATGCCCCATTGGCTTGCTTTCCTATTTTCGTAATTAGTTCCCAACTCAATATGTAAGAAGAGTACTATTCATTGCGCCACTCGAATCTCCAACACGTTATTTACCACTGGGATCCTCCTCAGGGGTGAGGAGTCTGAACCGATCAAACATGAAATGGTTAAGTGATCGGCTAATGTAAAGGTAGTGATAATACAGAACACATAGGAATTCTTTTTTTATTATTATTATACTTTAATGAGAGCATTCTCTATCAAATAGAGTAATTAGTGACGTGCTAGAGTTGACTTGTACTTACTCACGAGAGCCTATTTTGATTTCTCTTCCATGTTGAGTGGTGCCATGTCGTAGCTTGAAACTGGCCATAGTGGAGGTATCTACACCACAGAAATTAGCAACTACTTCAAGTCATGGCTTCCCCTTGCCCAGAGATAATTGGTTTGAAACATTTACTACACCCATGAATTTGACCTGGCATAAATGGATATGAATAAAGTCTCAGATTGAGGAAAGCAGAAAGACACTTCTGATATCTAATAAGTATGTCTCCCACCCACCTCCTTGCTGGAGATACTATTACAGAATACTGAAAGATAAAAACGTAACACTGACATTGACTCTCATGGTGAGGATAGGCTTTATCTACCATTAGTATTATCTCATATAAACAATAATGTAGCAGAAGGATTATAGAACTGAGAGTTAGGAAAGATTTCCACATGTCTCTACCACCAAACACTTGAGAGGCCTTTAATACATATGCTTTATTTTAAAAAGAAACAACTTCTTAGTCTCAATTAATACACTATTTGTATAATACTAAGATTGGAACAAACGTTAACTGAAACATATCTTAGTAGTAATATTTGTTGGGTACCACATAATGTTTGTTACATTATTACAATAGAAACATTTTACTTTTCTTGTTAGTGCTTAAATTATTTTATTTTATTTATTTATTTGGAGATAGGGTCTTGTTCTGTTGCAGGTTGAAAGAGTGCAGTGGCACAATCACAGCTCATTGCTGCCTTGACCTGCTGGGCTTAAATGATCCTCCCACCTCAGCCACCTGAATAGCTGGGACTACAGGCATGCGCCACCATGCCTGGCTAATTTTTAAGATTTTTTTTTATAGAGACAAGGTCTCCCTATGTTGCCCACGCTTGTCTTGAACTCCTGAGCTCATGTGATTCTCCCACATCAGCCTCCCAAAGCATTAGGATTACAGGCCTGAGCCACCATGCCCAGACAGTGCTTACATTATAATCTAGTGCATTATCTACCATTATTAAAATATGTGGATGAATCAGAAAATGTATAGAGAGATAAGCTAAATAAAAAATTATTTAAGGTAGCTACTATGAGGGGTTTATCATTTATTAAACTGAAGCAATTCACTGCTGTTATTCAACGTATGGCTTCAACAAAATACACTATTTTGAAGAAGTTGTGAAATGTGTATCCCTACATTGATAGATAGCACTAAGAAAAAATAAATTGAAAGAATTCATCTAAAAACAATTCTTAGTTGAATATTTACTGAATACTTTTCAGATCTGTGATTAACACTTTAAATATAACAACAGACTGCCATCTCTTTGATGTCTTAACACACAATTCATCTGAAATCAGGAGATTAGTCCAAGTGAAACTTGATTTGCTTTTAAAATCCAATATTCTATTTCTATATTGATTTAAAGTCAAAGTAAACGGGTCATCCTATAAGATAAAGGGGAGAAAGTTAATACAGCATTCTGCATAGAGGAAATAGAAATAAATGAATGGATAAAGGTAAATAAAATACATCAATAAAGTTATTTAAACTATGTAAAAATGATCACTATGTAAGCAAACAGTGATTCAATAATAAATATGAAAACTTTTTGCTTGTTAATAAGTGAATTATATATATATATTATTTTAAAACAAATTTTAATAATTTAATCCCAAAATAGGTAGAGAAGTGATTGAATTACATGAAATCTCTATTTATACCTGTCTTGTAACTGTCACAGCAATGGTATTTGCAAAGTGTTTACAACATCATGAATGTTTGCTGAGTTAAAATGCATTAGCATGTCATGAATAAATACATATTTTAACATTTGCTACCTGCATAATTCATCTGGCATTATTCTATATGTCTTGCTGTCCTTTTATTCTGTATATAGACAGCACAGTTTATTGGGTAAGAAATTAATTTCTGGAGAGGGACATAATGAGGTTTGAATTTTAGCATTCTCATTATTAGCACTGTGACTTCAGGGAAGTCACTTGCTGCCCTGATGAAATTTAGTTTCCTTTCTCTAAAATAGACATAGTAATGCATAAAATGTTCTTTTGAATAAGTAACCTATTACTTAACATATAACAAGCATGAAATAAGTTATTTCAGCAAAATAAATACATTCTTAAGCAAAATCATTTATTATTTATTAGCAAGCATTCCTTTCTTTCTAACTAGAATAAAAAGTTGGCAAATAATTACAGGAACTATATTTTACACAACTTTCTGGGTGTAGGGAAATCCACTGACTACAACAAACAGCTGTTTTTATCTAATTAGGGAAGTCATAACAGATCTTCTTACTTATTTGTATACCTCTAATTTTAGATTAGCTTTATTTTATTTTGATCTCTTAATTCAACAAGTTTAGCCTCCAGGCAGGTAGAGCTTACAGAAATACACAAAATTTCCATTAATAATAAAAGACCTGATGCTAAAAGTTAAATCTGAAGGATGAATTAAGTAGTCCAGTGTTCTGAACATTTATTTAACCTCATAAACATGCTGTGTTTTGTGCTGATTTTAACATTAAACAAACAAAAGTTTCTTAATTTTTAGTTATAAAGGTCAATTTTCGCAGTTCAGAAATGAATACTAACAGTCCTTCTGCACTTGGTTGAGATCCAAGACTACCAGTATAAATGATTCTAATACATTTTCCAGAAATCTTGACAAAGAAGACAGAATTTAAGTCAAGATAATATGTAATTTCACATTTTATATAATTTTCAGTTTAAAGAAACCAGCTAGCTATTCTACTGTGATATTCTATTTCAGAAAAAAATTTTTTAAAGCTTTGAATAAGATTTTATTCTCCACTTCCAATTTTTATCAATTTGACACAGTCAGATTTTCATGAGTAATAATTAATAGATTTGTGTCCATAGTATCAAACTAAATTTTGAATTGGGGGGAAAACAGCATTCTTTGTTATTTGTTTAAAAATGCAAAATTTTTATCCATTTTAAAGGGATACTGGTTTCATTTTCTTTGTTTATTTTGTATTTTTTTTGTTCTGTGTTTTTTGTGTATTTTTTAAACCACCCACACTCAACGCCACACATTTTGAGTATTTGGCCACTTAATATGAATTAAAAATTTTCCTAAAACCACAGTGTACCAAGTTATTGCAGAAAAATACTAAAATAAAAATCTTCTTTTATGATATTAGTGGAAGCCTTTTAAATAAATCAGATTGAACCCTTACTTGAGCAAAACCAGGTAACTTATCTACAAAATGACTGTACGAGAAAGATGCCTTGAAGGAGTAAAACCACTGAGGTCTCCAATTTCACTGGAATACCCTATGGATATTAAGAGGAACCTGACAAGAATGAAGGACTCTCAGACACATACGGAAATCACAAAATTCCATAAACTTTTCCTGACTTTTCTAAGAACAAGAAAGAAATATCAAAGCCTAAAGGAATAAAGAATTACTTTCCAGATAATTCAGAAAGGAATTAAATGCTGAAAACTGACATCTGTGAATATCACATTTTTTGAGAGTTATGTATAGAGACCATCCAAGTATCATAATTTTATTAAAAATATATACATAGTAACTATTGATAATATTGTTTATTGGTATAATTGATGCATTATGATATTTAAATGATTCTTTGGAGGGGTAATTAACTTTTATACATAGGCTTTTTTTAGTAGTATGTATTATTATGTTGATTTATATTGAAATAGTATTATAATTTAAAAACATATAGAAATTTTATCTTTAAGGCTCAAGTTTTGCATATATTTTAACATCAAACTTTTCATTCAAGCTATTCATTCGCAGCTGTCAGTAAATTTTATGAAAGAAAATAGATATTCGTCATAAACCAACTCAAGTCATTCTTTTTCTGCTTTAGAAAATAAAAAATGTATCTCCATTTCCATTTACTTGCTCAATCTGTTGTCTTTCTTATGAAAAGGGTCACCTTTTTAGCCATGAGAAATATATCCAACTGTACTGGAAATATATCCAACTATATTCTCATTTTAGCAATGATCTCACTTAATCTATTATTCTTCAACTTATAAAATAAAAAATCTCCCTAATTTATTTAATATATTTGTGTATAAAGCCAAGTGTTATGTGACAACTACAGGGGTCCTCCCTTATCAGTGCTTTACTTTTCATGATTTGTTACCCATGGAGAAATACACTCTGAAAATATTCAGTGGAAAATTCCAGAAATAATTCGTAAGTTTTAAACTGAGTGCTGCTCTGAGTAGCAGGTAAAATTTCACATATTCTCTCTTCATCCCAACAGGACATTAATCCTCAGTTTGTCCAACATATTCATACTTAGTAAAGATGGAAAAGTGATTAAATTTCTGGGTGGAAGCCGTGTTCCAACTGACAGCAATGGGTTCAGTACTATCTGTGGTTTCAGGCATGCACAGAGGGTCTTAGAACATATCCCTGGATGTTAAGTGCAGACTGCTATACTGTAATTGATGCTGGAGATAGAATGAGAGAAAAGTAGACATATTTCCTGCTTACAGAATTTACATTTTACTTGGGGCGTTATTTAAGAAAACTGATCATTATAATGCTGCCGATATGCTGTGAGTTAATATAGTAGGTGCTGTGTTGGCACAATTAAGTTCTACCCAAGAAGGTTTGGTTAATCAAAAGAGGCTTGCAAAAGAAGAGCTGTCCAAATTAGGCCTAATTATTTTGACGAAACTAACCTAGTAAAGGGGCAATTGAAATGGCATATAAAAAAATCTAGAGATGAATAAAAGCTTGAAATGTCTGAGGACCTGCAGTAAGTTCAGTGTGGGTGCATAATAGAGGATGAGAGGAAATATACTGGTAGATGAAGCGGCAGACATAAGCTGAATTTTGTTATAGAGAAGCTGGTAGTGATCTTAAGAATTAATTATTTCACAAAAGCAATTAGGAGATGTTGAAGGGTTTTAAGGAGGAAGATAAAATGATTCCACTTCACTTTAGAAAGATCACGTTAACCACAATATATGGAATAGATTACACAGGTTCAAAACAAGAAAAAACAGACAACCAGCTAGTCTTACTAAGCTATGAAGGCAAGAGATTTACATGAACTGACTAGGAACTAAATGTGACGATGAAGAGAAATGAGCAAATTTGAGACAGTGTTATTAAAAGTAAGTAAATGAAGAGGCAATAGAAAAATCTATCTTGTCAGAATTTTTGCTTAGATGAATAGGCTGTCAATAGGTTTGTGGGTTGTGGATAAAAGCTCAATTTAGGGCATTTTGGTTTCAGGTGTCATTGAGACAACCAAGCAGGAATGTCTACTTGACGGCTGATGCAAGTATCAGAAGCTCAGGAAGGAAGGCATATATAGAAAGGTAATATGAGTATCACAAGTATATGGGAAGTAACTTAAACCTTATGACTAAATGAGATTGCATGAATGAATGACTATAAATGCTAAACATAAATTCCAGTTGAGACCATTTAAATAAATAGCCTTAAAACAAAAACAAAAGCGAAAGTCATTATGGAAACTCAGAAGAATAAAATACTGATGGAAATGTTTTATTACTAAATCTATCAAACCTTTTAAAATGTTTACGTTCCCTGACAATGGCAGCATTTAACATTCTAGGTCATTCCATTTTTCTGTTTTCCAAAACACGACTCTCATTTTAGTTTTCTTTCTACTTCTGGCCTTCATTGCAATCTCCTATTTTTTTTCTTTTTCATACATTCTGGATTCGTGTTTCACTCTCTCCACCTATCATTTTTTGCTCCTTTCCTTAAAGAATTTCTCATACCTCTGAATTTACCTACCCATATATGTGAAGGAGTCCAAATCTTACATCACTACTCTAGGACTCTGCTGAGTTAGATTTATTCAGTCTGTTTTCTAGACCCTGTCAACCAAACACTCTACCAGCACTTCAATTCATTATGTTCTCTAAAACTGTCCTCTCCTTTTCTATTCTCTATTTTCATTTTTTTTTTTAATTTCAACTTTTATTTTAGACTCGGAGTACACGTGCAGGTTTGTTACACGAGTAAATTGCGTGATGCTGCGGTTTGGAGCATGGATCCCATCACTCAGATAATGAACATAGTACAGAATAGGCGATTTTTCAACCCACATATCTCTCCCTCCTACCTGCCTCTAGCAGTCACCAGTATCTATTGTTCCCATCTTTACATCCATACGTGCTCAGTGTTTAGCTCCCACTTATAAGTGAGAACATGCAGTATTTGTTTTTTTTGTTCCTGCATTAATTTGCTTAGGATAATGGCATCCAGCTGCGTCCATGGTGCTGCAAAGGACATGATTCCGTTCTTTTTTATGGCTGCATAACATTCCATGGTGTACATATACCACATTTTCTTTATCTAACCCACTGTCAATGAGCACCACAGTTGATTTTATGTTTTTGCTATTGTGAACAGTGCTGCAAAAAATATGCATGCATGTATCTTTTTGGTGGAACAATTTATGTTTCTTTGAGTATATATCCAGTAATGAAATTGCTTCACTGGCTGGTAGCTTTGTTTTAAGTCCTTTGAGAAGTCTGCAAACTGCTTTTCACAGGGGCTAATTTACATTCCTACCATCAGTGTGTAAGTGTTCTGTTTTCTCCACAGCTTTGCCAGTATCTGTTATCCTTTGACATTTTAGTAATAGTCATTTTTGACTAGTCTGAGGTTATATTTCATTGTAGTTTGATTTGTATTTCTCTGACGATCAGTGACGTTGAGCATTTTTTCATATGTATGTGGGATGTTTGGATGTCTTCATTAATATGATCTCTACTTAACTAGTCAAGTTGAACAAGTCAGAATCCTGAGACATAGCCAAAGATTCTTACATTCTGTTCCCAACTTTTTTCAGTTTGTCAGGATGTCCTGCTGATTTTGCTACATCAAGTTTCTTAGAGTCTACTCCGTTGCTTCATCAGTCATTACAACTGCAGAGCAGGGGTTCAATAAATGCTTTTTGAATGAATGAACTAATTCCTCTTCTCTCTGCCCCTACCTGAGTTTATGCTCCTCATTACTCCTTGCTCACAAATTGGAATACATTCTCAATGTCTCCCAGTATAAATAACATTTCCTTAAAATTAAAGCCAGTATAATTTCTTTAAGTCTGAATTTAATTTGTTCAATCACTTTCTTAAAGTCCATCAATATCTCCTTACCTCCTGCAAGACACATTATAAACTCCTTAGCATATTGTTATCTTTACCCACTTTTGACAGCCTGGTTAAAGGCTGACCCAGTAAATCCTCTTAAAGGTTTCCTAGAATGAGAATCTCCTTTTCTCAGGACTATGAACTCCTGTAGCTCCTGAGGCTCTGCTCAGTTGTTTTCTCCCCTGACAGATATCTCAGCTCCTCCACCCATTGTAGAGAAGTGAGCAATCCTTTATTGTGCTCCTAGAGATTGTAATGGTTAGCTAACATTTCAGTCTCCCTCAGGTGCACTACATTTTATGAGGATAAGGATTTTTTGGAAACATTATTTTCTTTTATTTCACATTTAAAATAGGCATAAAATCATGTGTGGCATTCATCAAATGCTGGTTCAGTAAAAGAATGAATACGTCATATGTAAACATTTCAAAATTCACCTGCACTAACAATAATATCCGAAAAGTAAGATAATCATACTAGAATACGGGAGATGTATCTTTAGAAATAATACACTAAGAAACTGGAATCTTTTTTTTTTTTTTTTGTCTTTTTTTGAGAGGGAATTTTGCTCTGTCACCCAGGCTGGAGTGCAGTGGTGCACTCTTGGCTCACTGTAACCTTGCCTCCCAGGTTCAAGTGATTCTCCTGTCTCAGAAAAAGTGGAATCAACTTTAATGAGAGACTGGAAAAGTGCTAATCAGAAGGATTCTGCTGAAAGTTAGGAGAGGCAGCAATCCACTCTTACTTACCTTACCACTAATATATTATTAGTGCCTTACCACTAATATATTATTCCTGAGAGCCATTTGAGTGCTGTCATTAAAAATGACTTTTCCTGAAGTTCCCTCCGTTAGTAATGAGCTCATAATGTCAAAGAGCAAAAGCTTTTAAGGGCCATATTCTTTAACAAGAGGGATAGATTACTTCATAAAGATATTAGGAATTACCAAGGGGATAAATCAAATCACTCTTACCGCATTTTCTTTCTTCGGAAAATCAGTAGATTTCAAAATATAACACAGAAAGCTAATGACTCAATAGTATTCATAGTTAATATAGTCTTGGGTAATCTTGAAGGCCTCCTGATCATGTATCTATTCATGTATAGCTAATTTTCACATTTTAAAATTACTTATTATCCAAAATTTAATTTAAAAGTATGAAAGCAATCATGAATACTAGTCTTTAAACATAAATGTCCAGAGCTTTATCAGAATAAAACCGATAAGGACTTTGTACTGGAAAAGAAGATGATTCTCATGTGAGAGACTTTTTTTTTTCTTGATACAGGATAATTTCAAAGAAATTATGAGTTAATGTGATTCCAGCCAGTCCAGGTTGGCATAATTTGTTATTAAAGTCAATCAATATCTCCCTACCTCCTGCAAGATACTCTCTACTCCTTGGACACTTGATACTGTATTAGAAATGACAGACAGTAGTTACTTAGAGCAGAAAGATAAATCCCGAGATATACTTGTCATCAATCACATTAAGAATAAACTATACGTATTTATGCATTAGCTTTAAGTTTTTCTTAATAAAAGTCTTCTATTACAATGATAACATATACTTTAAGTGCTTTTCCCCTATATTTACTACTTTACATTAAGGGAGGTTTAAATTTAAGGCAAGATATTAAGAAACAGAAAATTGGGAAGAATAGTAAAAGCAATTAAAATTGCTTTATCTTCCTTCTGGATTCATTTTTCTTCTTCCTGTAAAGTGTCCTTCAGAAGTTCCTTTTCTAAAATCTGTTGCTATCGTATCTTTGCCTTTGTTCTTACAAAGTTTGGGTACATAATTCTACATTATCAGTCAATCACTTTTAGCACTTTGAAGATATCGTTATCCTGTCTTCTAGTTCCCATTCCCATTATTGCTACTGTGAAGTCTACTCTCAGTCTAAAGATTATTGTTTTGTAAGCAATCGGTCCTTTTCTGCTGCATTTGCTCTTTGAAGCCTGGAATTAAGATTTTCCTCTTCTTTTTTCATCAGTTTCACAATAATGTATCTTCGTGAATATTCCTCTGTTTTTAACTTTTTAATTGATATATAACATGCAAATAAAAAGTTGATAAACCAAAACACCACACATATATATATACACACATATATGTGCAAACATATATATAGGGGTGTGTGTGTGTGTGTGTGTGTGTATATATTTGCTTTGTACTTGAGTTTTAACTTTTACTTGAAGAATTTCCTAAAGCTAAAAGATAGGCTGCATCTTCCAATCCTCTTAGCCCTCAGATAGCTCATCCTCTGTCCAGAGACAGTCAAAGCACATCTCATCTTTTCTGATAGCTGGAGCCCCTGCAAGTTCTGAATACTCTGGGTATGAGACACTAAACAGCTTCAGCCATCTGCAGCATACATCTTATTTAGAATATCTGGAAATGTGGTTATGAATAACTGCAAGTTGCTCTTCTCCCTGAAGGCTATAAAGTTAATGTTGGTATGAAATCTTCCTCTATCAATTCAGAAAGATGGTATGAATTTGAGAATTCCATTAGAAAATTATAAACAGGAAGGTATACTCTGTTCCCATCTTGTCCAGTGGTAATAATCAAACTAACACTTCCAAAAAGATTAGAGGGGGTAGGGATACAAAGATCCTTCCAAAGACTCTTTCCCCAAATCATATCAAAATTGCTTCTACTGCTGTAACAACTAGTCTGTCACTACGTTTTCGCTCCAGGCTTAGTCTATTACAGCTTTACTTCAAATCAGCAAAAGCAACAAAACACATACACATATATGTACACATATAATATGCACACATAAAAATTCTTGATAAAGTTTCAAGATGGATGCATTATTCAAGCTGCTTCTCATACAGTTTATGTTTTAAAGTATTTTAATAAATGTTTGTAGAAAAAATCGTAACATTTGAAATACCAGGATGTAGCAAATAGTTTGAAATAAGTCACAATTATTTCCTCAAAAACAATTCTAGGACGCTACAAGTCTCCTAATGTCAATCCCTTGTTTAAAACGTTTTTAGAGTTTCCAAGCCAGGAGTCTTTTGCTCCACTTTGTTCAGAGGCACAGAGAAAAACAACATATTATATTTAAAGTAATAGCCAAATATTACTCAAGTATTATTTATTCACAGTCTCCAAAACACAATCTTTCTCATTTTAAAATACATGATTTTCTGTTGTTCCCTGAAGGACATAGAGTTTATTGCTACAATAATCTTTTCTATGAGATTCAGATGACATAAATTATAAACCCACTTTCTAGCGTATGGGCTAGTAAAACTGTAGAGTTTCTTTCCCATTCTTATAATCCTTGCAATTATGGGAATAAAAACTCCAAGTGAGCCAGCTTTACTGTAATTCTATTCTTTGCAGTGGTAGGTAATGAAAATTAGCAAAATAGCTTAGAGTGACTAAGATGATGCTGATAGTATTACTTTGAAACAAAAGCTACTTACTTCCTGAACACGTATCTCTGCAGGGATGCAAGGCCTTGGAAAATGACCTACATAGTGTCTTATCTTACTGCTTTACAAAAAGTCCATGTACCAATGGATCATTAGTTTGTACAATTCACCTGGAAGTATTTTACTAATGGAAAAGCACCAGGAGTCTCAGAGCACAGCCATACAGGCCAGTTAAACATTTAAGTCATGGCTAATGAGACAACTAACGTGAATATTTCCTTGTCCTCTTTTAGGATGGGAAGAAATTGGGAAGAGAATCAGATGGGACAAAATCATTTACAAAGTAGGTGAAATAATTGTAACAATATCATTATTATTTCTATTAGTTCTGTTTCTATAGCTGTTATAAAATTATATAAGAACTATACCATCTCCTTGTTAAGTCAGAAAAAGTCTAAGAGATGGTCACACCCATTTTTAATATCTATAGACAAATCTCTTTCCTTATTGATGATTTGAAAGATTCTCTTCAAGTCAAGTGTTATAGAGAGTTACTATATGTAAGGTAACTTACTATATGTAAGTTACAATATGTAAGGTATCGACCTTACATATTGGCTTCTTCTAACAGCTTAGTTTAACACTCTCAGTGAGATGAAAATATTTTATGTATAACTCTACAGGGCAAATATTTTTCTTCCAAATGCTATGTTAATTTTCAATGGTAGCTTCCTTTCTTATTGTCAATGCTACTTTTATTTAAAAATCAACATATACACAAGATAACTGGTCTTTTTTGTAATGTAAATACTTAATTTGTTGGTCAGATTTATAGATTTTTCAGTTATAAAGAAATAAATAATATATATATCTAAGCAAAGTAATACAAAATGGCACTGACTTTTTGTACTGAAACACAGCATGATTTCTCAATTTAAAAAAGTATTGGAAAGCATAGGGCAATATGTTGCTTGAACTTTATAATATTTAGTACAGACGGAAATGTAAGCTTAAAAGGGTAGAGATTTCTGTTTCACACCTCGATATATTGCAAACCCCTAGAAAAATGACCTGTGCATAGAAGGTGCTGAATAGTATTTTTTAAATGAATATATTTTGACTTTGATTTTCTTTTCTATAAAGCAAATGTGCTATACTATTGCTTTCAATGAAATATTTTCTTCTCCTTCTACCTATACACTTCTTCCAAAAGAATAAATTTTAAAACATGAATAGCAAAATAGATGAAGGGGAAAAAGAGTGGAAAGCAAGAAAGTATTTCCTGATTGGCATCACTGAACATAGGAAGTCAACTCCACCTTTGAACGCTGTTGGGCTTCTGTGGTGGCAATATACACATATATGCATATATAATACATGCAGACAGTGAAATATATATATTTCACTTTCTCTGTCTACCTGAAATGTCATCTATTAGAGATATATTTGGATTCATGAATATTATTGTTGTAAATGCAAGTAGCTCTGAATAAGAAATAATTTAAAAATTTGCTTAATTAGATTATTTTGTTCCTAAAATTGAGACAATTAGAAGGGGTAGAGTTTTATAAACATAAATTATGTGGAATGAGCAGATGCGAAGAAAGAAAGGTCAGGGAGATAAGTGAATATTTTTCAAAAAAAAAAAGAGAAGCTTAATCCATGGCAAGACAATAAATGGATGATAATGACTCCACCTCCAACCTATTCCCTCATAACTATATTGATAGATAAATTATATTCAACAGGAGCATCACTAAAAGTGTTGATGATAGAAGCATTCCAAGGCACTGAAAAATCAAAGCTTGGAAATATCTGAAAGATAAACCAGGCCTGTCTTGCATAATATAGTATGCTTTCATTTGCTTCTCCTTCAAACAAGTCACATCCTAAATTGAAGGTTGCCTCTATCATGAGTCACAGAAACCCTCTTTTCACAGCTTAACGTGCTGAATAAATTAAGATAAAGTTATAAGTAACCAACAGCTAAGAATAGAACTGCAATGTATAAATTAAAAATAAATACATTATAAGTCAGTGTGAATGAAGAAAGACCAATACTTGTACAATTCTGTACAATTCTTAAAAATATATTTTGTACCTGGTAGTATTTTACATGTAAGGTCTATCAAGGATAACTTGAAATAAGAATGAAAATAACTTTTAAGTATTATGATCTAGCATACCTATCAATATTTTCTTACCTATTGTGATGGTTAATGTTATTTCTCCACTTGGCTAGGCTATGGTGCCCAGTTGTTTAGTCAAGCACCCATCTAGATATTGCTATAAAGGTATTTTTTTAGATGAGGTAAACATTTAAATCTACACTTTGAGTAAAGTAGATTGCCCTCCATAAAGTGAGTAGAGCTTGTACAATCAGTTGAAGGCCTTAGGGGCAGATGCTGAGGTTTCCCAGGAAAGAAGAAATTCTGGATCAAGGCTGAAATCTAGAAATCCTGCTGACCTTCCAGCAAGCTGCCCTGCAGAATTCACACTACACACTGCAACATCAACTCTTACCCAAGTTTCCAGTTACCAAGCCTGCCTCATAGATTTTAGACTTCCCAGTCTTTACAGTTGTGCCAGCCAATTTTTAAAAAATTTATCTTTGTCTCTCTTTATCTCTCCTTCAAAGTCCATTAATGGTTTTGTATCTCTGGAGATCCTGATTCGAAAATCAATGAGTTTTGGGTCAAGGTGTCTGTGGCTCTTGAACTCTTTTATTTGGGGGAATGTGTTCTTTTTCTGTCATGCCTCTATTATGGCATGCTTCAAAATTTTAAGAGACCAGCCAAAAATTAATGAAAATTTGCAAAAATATCAGAATAATCTAGAAATGCAAATGTACTTCTTACGTAGCTAACAAATCTAGTTCTACCTGTTGAATGAGATTACCAACTAATTCTAAGAATTAGTTGATTTAAGTTATGGGGAAATTAGTCAAACATTTTGATGACGAAGACCAGATTTCTTTCTCACTGATTCAGATGCCAACCTCTTGACAGAAATATAAAATATAAAGCCTTTGTGTAGTTGCATAAATAAAAAAAAAAAGTCTCCAACGTTACTCGTTAGACTGTGGCCTACAGTCTATCTGCAGGTGGTCTCAGGTCTCATCTGAGCCTTAATAAATCAAATATTTGAGAAAAGGCTTAGGAATTTTTATATTTGGCAAGCATCCCAGGGCATAAAAGTTTGAAAACCATTGATCTATCATTTAGTTCCTAAAAATGTACCTGAAATTTCAACTTAAACTATAAAATGAGGAATGGATCTCTGAATGATTTTTAAATTACTCTACAAAATTTTTGGCTATAAAAGGGTTCACAATGACAACTTCTTCAATTTTTTGATGAAATATTTCTTTCTTATTGCGAATTATACCTTATGTTCTAAAAATAATCATGATTTTTTAAATTTTTACCATTATTATAAAATTGAAGGGAAAGTTTTCCTTTATTTTTGTAACACATGCTGGCGTCCTCTAAAACTTTTTACACAGCCAATTAAAATATTTGCAGGTTTCTTTATGACCAATTAGAAAAGTATCATTGATTATATATATATATTTATATGTATATATATATATATATGGCACATATATGCAATAATTATGTTTATTTTAAAAATGCTGTATATTAGGAACAAATAGACAAAAATAAATTCCTGGTATCCTCGAAGCTTGGATAAACAGCATCAGATTGAAAATGATCTTTTCCTATCTTGGAACACTTATAACACTATTATACCCCATACGCACCTTTTCATATTTCCTAATGACCTTATAGTCCATTTACACATACATACACACACACATTCTGTTTTAATATTGTAAATTTTTACGTAGTAAGTTACCAAATAATATCTGTTGATTGATACACTCATTAACAATGTAAGCAAATGCAGACATTCACAGCAAATTTTATTTTCTTTGCATTATGAAAGCATTGTTTTACTCAATTAAACTAAATTGAAGTGTTCCATAATGTACCTCATGATATTTTAATTACCTTGCTTTCTTCAACCTGTTCTCTTACTATGCACAACTTTATTCTATAAAAACGAGAAAAATTGGAAATTCAGAATCTCAGAATCTTGAACAAATTAAAGTAGCTTGTAGAGATAGTTTCCTTTTTTATTTTTATTTTTGAATTTTAACTTTTATTTTAGATACAGGGAATACATATACAGGTCAGTCACATGGTTATACCGCATGATGCTGAGGTTCAGGGTACAACTGCACCCAGATACTGAGCACAGTACCCACAAGTAGTTTTTCAGCTTACTGCTCCTGACTCCCCCTTCTCTAGTAGTTGCCAGTATCTACTGTTGCCATCTTTATGTCCATGAGCACACAATGTTTAGTTCCCACTTATGAGCAAGAACATGTGGTATTTGGTTTTCTGTTCATGCATTAATTCACTTAGGATAATGGACTCCAGCTGCATCCATGTTGCTGCAATGGGTGTGATTTTTTTCTTTTTCATGGCTGCATAGTATTCCATGGTGTATATGTACTACATTTTCATTATCCAACCCACTGTTGATGGGCACTTAGGCACTTAGGTTGAGTCCGTGTTTTCCTTCTCATGAATAGCGCTGTGATGAACATACAAGAACATGTCTCCTTTGGTAGGACAATTTATTTTCTTTTGGATATACATCCGGTAATAGTTTTGCTGGATTGGATGGTAGTTGTGTTTTAAGCTCTGTGAGAAATTTCTGAACTTCTTTCCACAGATAATAGTTTCCTAACAGCATAAAATACAAGTATTTTGTCTAAAAGTTGGTCTTTGGAAAATACTAGTAGAAATATTAAAAAAATGACATTACTTATTAAAAATTATTTTGTTCAATTGTCCATTTTTTTGTTCATATATTCATTCAAAACACTTTTTTTTGGCACCAATAATACACCAGGAACTGGGAAGCTAAGGCAAGTAAGACAGAGACCCTTTTCTAAGGATTTTTCATTTGTTATGAGAGTATTTCAAAAATAAAGAAGACTTTATACTTCTTTTAAGACTCTAGCTCCAGCTGTCTCTGGGCTCACATTTCAGAAATGAAGCCTGGAAAATTTAGGTCGTAGAGCTTCCTCATGGTCCATAACTTTAGGTGGTCTTGTGGAATATGGAAATGAGGAGACAAAAAGAAAGGGGAAGCCCATTTTGTGTTAGGACTTGTACTGCTGCATACTCCAATCCCCCCAACATCTCCCTTGCGCAGAAACATCTAGACTATTTTTTAAGAGAAAATGTTTTAGTACAGATACAACTAATGATAAACTATATAGCTCTCTGGACTGATAAACAGAAAAATGAGACCACACTCCTTCAGCATTTACCTTCTGTTATAGGATATGCATAACTATTCACTAGCATTAACCATGACATCATTGCTTTACTGATATATCAAAATATTGAGAAGAAAATAGGCTTTATTGTACAATATAAAAGGACATACATTAGTAAAAGTTATAAATAGGAAGAAAAGACTAAAAGTTTATTTCACTGATCTATTTAGAGACCTAGATTAATTGCATTCATATTTCTAGCTGTCTAACAAATCGCTGTGAATATATAAAATAAAACATATCTATGTAAAGTCACCTTCTCCCTTTCTCTTTCTCTCTCCGCAATGGTACGAGCCTTCTTCATGTGTTTTAGACATGGTTGTGGCATAAAGATTTTTAAGACATGTAAATTATTAAATTAATATTAAAACATAGAATAAATTAGTTTGTTCATTCTAAATGTGTCATTCAAATATAAATAATCTACATTTTAAATATATATGTAGGTATACTAAATAAGTAAATATGTATGTTAATATGTTTAAAGCAGGGTGAGAAACCTGGACACTTCCTGTGTGGGCAATGACATCAAGATGATGCTAGAGAAACCACTTCACTATTTTCTTCAGTGTTCTCATCTGTAAGTTGAAGTTATTGACAGCCTTACAGTTCTGTGACCCTTACGACAACATTTCATTATTTAATTCTTGTTTGGGTATTCCTCCACTATCTGGGGAGACAGTTCTATTTAACCAAACACCCAGGCACCAGAAGCACACCTGGAGTGGATTCTGCAAAGAGGAGCCCTCATTTCCCAGAGGGAGGTACCCTGAACTTGACTTTGAAAATGGCTTGGCAGAAGGATTTGACAGGGAGTGACCTAAGCAGGCAAAAACTCCAATTCCACAGAGCACCACCTCCTTAAAAGTTAAAAGTATATTGGATGCTAAGGCTAACAATTTCAGGTACATATTTAAAAAATCATAATAATTCAAAATAATCAAAAAATATTACAAACTTTAAAACAGATAGGGTTAGTACTATCGGTAACCAAGGTATCTCTGTCTGGCTAGATGATGGATATATTTATCTTTACCTCAAATGTTTCATTCTGTAGCTTTGTATAAGAAACATGCTTTCTTCAAATCAAGAAAATTCGTACTCACACAGAAAGTGGCAAGAAGTGTTTGATGTGTTTGAGTCATTTCTCTTTATTTGGATCAAACAAACAAACCAAATATAATGGAGCAATATTTCACTGAATAGTATGTTTAGTACATTGTGACATGTTAAGATGAATATATAGTTAAAAGCTATAAGATTAAAGGTTCCAAACTGGAATACAGCAAAAAATGAATTCCTTATGCAGCACTGGGAAATGTTTGTCAAAGAAAAGGTTTTTTGTTTTTCATTTTCCATTATATTTAATTTCTTTAAATTTCTCTGATAATTTATTATTGTTTTATTTTTCCATAAGTGAAGAAAATTATCAAGGTGTGCAAGAGACTCATATTATAGACGGCCGAGTGTCTAGGCTATTTGCATCATAGTTCAGACTACATAAAAACCAATAATAAACAAAAACCAATAATATCTGAATCTCAATATTTCGAGTGATTATATTTCTGCCTTGTAGTGACACTTTCATCAGGGTCAAGTTTGGTGTTTTACTGCTGGCATATATTCTCAGATTAAGCCATCTGAAAGAATAAATTGTGTCTTATCTGGGATTATTGGAGTTTGTAGAAATATCTTCTATCTCCTCCCTCATTTCAAAACATTTATACTTTTTCCCCCAACAGTCATACCAACTATAGTCTAGCTGCTGTTTGATCATTTAAAATCACGTGTTACATAAATCCTTTTAGCAACTGACTGCGTGTTTTCAAAAGCGTCTTCTCTAAGTCTTAAGGAACATCACTGGATATTTCCAAAGAGGATATTAGAAAATTGCTTTCCAAGAACTGAGAAGGAAAAGCATCATGTCAGACAGGGCTAGGTACTTATCAAACAGTAATTGCCTCTTCTTCCTTTCTATTGTTTCCTAGATTTTATTTGTGAGGTAGAAATACGCTCACTGTGTGCAGACTCTTGAGCAACTAAGTATATCCATGACATGCATACTTTGCCAATGAGAAATAAGCTGGGTGTTTTCCAGATAATATTGCTTCCCTAATATGAAGGGACAACCCATCTGGCTTCTGGTTCCCTAATTCTTCCTGTTTGAAATACAGACTTAATGCGTGGCACTGCAGCAGCCACCCTGGGATCCTGAAACTAAAAGAGACAGATGGCAAAGATGGAAGAACAGGTCAACGGAAGGAGCCTGTATCTGAGATAGTGTTTTTGAGCAACAGCATCAAGTTTGGACTGTCTACCTTCAGATTTATTGGATATGAGAAACATAAACCTAACTGTCGAAAGCTCAGCTCGTTAAGTTTTCAGTTACTGGAAAATAAACACAAGCCTAATTGCTAAACACGTAGATTTCCAATTCTAATTTTAATGACAATCAGTAACCTGTCTACCACCTGAAACAAACGCCTGTGAGGCTGGCTAGTGCTTCTTTTCCAGAAGGAAAGATGACCAGCACAGGAATAAATTGTACTTCCACCCAAGGCAGGGCAAAGGCACACACCTACAGCTGGATGGATCTGAGTCCTCATGGAACCAGTCAGCCTAGAAATAGCTTGATGAGAAGATTGTGAGTTCACCACAAGAGAAAGTTTGTATGGTTTAGGGCTATTGGAAGCAGCAGGTGAAGGGTGATCTGTCAGAGATCAGAAGGAGTGACATCCTTGCCAGGAAACTATAGTTGGAAATTACTGGGGGAGGAAAAGTTTCTCTAAGAAACCTCCAAAAGGTACAATAATTCTCAGGGGTTTGACTGAGCACCCAGACATAGACGCAATTTAAAACCAAACCAGCCATGTGACTGTTTTTGTTTGTTTTGTTCTGTTTTGCTGAAATCCCTCAAAACTACTGGAGTTAACACTGGATAACAGACACTACAGCCAGCAAATGGATCAGGAGTAGGAGAAAGGAAGTGAGAAGCACCTGACTCCCCACTCTTCATCTTTACAGGCTTCTCATCCTAAGCTAGGCTGGAGGTAGGACGGAAGTTTAGCTTTAAAGTGGATGATGTTTTTTAAAAAACTTGTATTTTAGCTTCAGGGTTACATGTGCAGGTTTGTCATATAGGTCAATTCATGTCATGGGGGTTTGTTGTACAGATTGTTTCATCACACAGGTACTAAGCCTACTGCCCAACGGTTATTTTTTTTTCTGATCTTCTCCCTCCTCCCACCCCTGACCCTAAGGTAGGCCCCAGTGTCTGCTGTTTCCCTCTTTGTGTCCACGTGTCCTCATCATTTAGCTCCCACTTATAAGTGACAGGTTATCTTTAATATTAAGCTGGACTGAAGTATTTATGACATGAAAAAGAAGCTTCAATTCTTAGCTGAGAGTGATTAGTAAAACTATGGGATCAGCCTGAAATATTGCCAGGTGAAAGAGATTTGTTAGGACAAGGAGGAAAGCAATGCAAAGAAAGCTGTTTGTGGTTTGACCCCTACCTACTCCGGCTCGTTCATTATCACAGTAATATTACATTATAACAAATGTTTATGTGGTAAAATAGAGGGGAGTGATATGTTATACCTATATGAATGATAAAATTTTACTATATACAGGCATGCTTAAGATGAGAAATATTTATAAGGCAGAGAATCTAGAACAAATGACTAAATGCAGAATGTCTTATACATTTTCTTAAAATATAAACTATAAAACCAAGTCTATTTGATAAATGCAGACTTATCTAGTAGTTGTAATCATCTTTATCCCTAGACAGTTTCATGAAGCTGAATAATTAGCAGCTATGTATCAGTTCTTCCTAGCCAATGGTAACCACATATACAATTAAGAATGTTACTATAATTGATATCATCTTGCCAATGTTTACATTTAAATATACACTATGAGATAAACAAAATATCAATCAGATATGAAAAAGTAGATTGCTCCTAAAAATTTAATCCTCCTTATGCAAGAACAGACTGCATTTATGAAACATTAAGAGGGCATTTTATGAAAATATTTTTAACATATTATTTCCTTATTATTTAGAAGCATTTCAAATCATATTTTACTGTTGGCAGAGCAGGAATTGAATATGAACATGTCTGAAATGATAGAAGATACAACGGAATTTTAAATCATGCTGTTCTTAAAATGTTTTCTGATCAAAACTTCCCCAAACAATAGACAGTGGTATTATTATATCACCATTATACAATGTTAAAGGCTTTTAAGCGTGGATGAATTGGCCCATTACCTCTCTTTTGTGTTTTCTTAATCTTTTTTTCTTCACTACGCACACTCACTCAGAATCTAGCTCATTTTCAATAAATTAACACAACTTTTTGAACTGCACATGGACAATTTTTATGCACAAATTTTGTATTAATTTTCTTATTCTCTTCTTGAGACTTAAAATTACATAAATGTCTTTAGCCTCTCATCTTGCCCATCCTTGCTGTAGAACTTCAAATATTGTGTTTCTACCCCATAAAAGATGCCCACTTTTCTACTCTGTAATAGATGTCTAGCCATTGCTCCTCAAAATATTTCAAGGACAGTATCTTTGAATGTTTCTGACATATATTTTCAGAAAATTGAGAGTCAGCATATTGTTCTGGGGGAAAAAAAGTATATCTTTGTGCTAAGAATGGGAAAGTTTACATTTAAAAAAAAAGCAAACAAAAAAAACGGGTCTCCTACTACCAGCTGTGTTTCCTGTGACTTTGGGGAAGTCACCGAAATTCTCTGTGGCTCACTTTTTCCATCTTTATCACGGAAAGAATAACAAAACATGCTTTTCTGATCTCTCAATGAGACGGATAGATGAATAAATGCATGATAAATTATGGTAGTGAGAAATACATGAGTTCAAGATGGAGAAAACCCTGTCTCTACTGAAAATACAAAATTAGCTGGGCGTGGTGGCGAATGCATGTAATCCCAGCTACTCAGGAGGCTGAGGCAGGAGAATTGCTTGAACCCGGGAGGTGGAGGTTGCGGTGAGCCAAGATCATGTCATTGCATGCCACTCTGGGTGACACAGCAAGACTCAAAAAAAAAAAAGGGGGGGGTGTGGGGGGGAGAAAACACTGAAATAATGCATATATATTCATAATAATAATATTTGAACAATTCCTATGAAGACAATGATATCTATAAGCAATTAAGTATTTCCCAGTTAAGTAGGTATATATTTTTTGTAATATCTAGAGCTGTGGGAGCAATGAGTAAATTCTATGTATGCAGAGCTGCAATTTGTTCAGTGAATTCCGACAGCAAGAATTTAGCCCAGTAAGCATATGAAGGCTCTGCTAAAATCTGTTTCCCACATAGGAACTAACCTATTAAAAGTTCAAAACTATGTGCCATTTTGTCTTTGTTGCAAATTAGTTAGGTATAATATTAACACTAAAATTGAATAGGAAAGGAAAGTTTGTTAAGATTTGTATATTTATTATCTTCAAAATATCAACAAATTCACAGTGACTACATGCATAGAAGTTCCCTGTTTAAATATAGATGAGGTGTCTAGAATAGAAATAGACAAGTCTACAATGAATTTGGGTGGCCATTGGGTATCATTAACTCGATCCCTTACTAAGCTATGCCTAATTTCCCATTATTGTAAATTGGAAAATATCTTAATTATCATACAAAAATTTTGTGAATATGGATCATGTACATGAAGACACTTTCAAATGACTTCAGATACATGCAATTGTTAATATCATAAATTATGAAAGACTAGTTTATTGCCAGCAAAAAAAGCACTAGAAAACATAAAATCCTCTATGTCTATTATCTAGAATTGGAATTTTAAAATATTACTCTCTCAATCCATGAGGTACAGACAGTCAGTAACTGGTATCTCAGATCTGTTTTTTTAATCTCCTTTGCACTATGTTTGGGTCCACATAACTAGTTCCGACCAAAGCAATGTGACGTGACATGACCTGTGTCAATTCTGGTTTGAGGCAGTAACAAGCCAATCTGTTTCATCAGCAACGTGTCTTCCTACCATTGAGAAACACAGTGGTCTTGTGTTCCAGATATCTAGTTACTAAATGAATGAAAGAAACATTTGAACTGCATAGAGTTTCAATGAGTATAAATTAATCCTATATAGTGCTTAGCCCATATATTTTGTAGTTTATTTCTTACTACAAGATAGCTTAGCCTATCTTTATCAATACACACCAAGTCTCACTATTATTCAGTAGCGCTGCATTACAATTGTTTAAAAAACAAACAACAAAAATCTTTTAATCCCTGGGTACCAAATGTTTCAACCAATGTTTACCTTTCTCTGGCACCATTCTTTGACATAAACTCTATTGAAATCCATGTCTATAAGCGACCATGCTATCTTGATTCTTAGCAGCTTCGCTTTCTCATTCCTGTCCCTGAAGTGATGTCCCACCCATCTTCACAGACATAATCCAAACAGTTTTCAAACGCAATGCCATTGGCAATACATGCTAGAAAATCTCTATCCAAAGTTAGCAAAATGAAAATCCATTCATATTAAAAAAACCCTCAGTTGTCTCAAAAATGTTAGATTTTCAGAGAATGAAACTTCTCATAGAATCATAATCCTTTTTTTGAAAGCTCTATTACTCTGTGATAATTGAACAAGCATTTCACCAATTAAAAGACAGATTTGTTTTTGTCCAAAATGCAGATGACTATAAACTTTCATTTGCTTGCTCAATTGAATTTCTTCAATGAAGCCATTTAGGACAATGCATGATGGAGCATATTATATTCGCAAAAGTTCCTGCCAAAATAATAAGAGTCATAGAAGTTAACATTCAATAACTTTTGCATATATATATATACACACACACACAGAGTAGTAGAATAGAAACCTACTAAAATCCATAGCATTTATTCTAAAATAAATAATTCAGTAAAATAATGGGTAACATATGACAAATTATACAGAGAAATTAAAAAAAAAAAAGGATATCCATTGCATGGAATGTTTAGGAGCCAGCCCACCTCGGGAGGAATCCCAGTTCTGTCACTTATTTCTGATGCTACCTTGAGCAATTTCATCCAGGCTGCTCACTGTGCCTCATTTTACCTATCTGTAGAGTGGGGAAGATGATGGTCATGAAAATAATAACAAAAATAATAATAATGCCTATTTATAGTAGTTGCTATGAGAATTAAGCATGTAAAAATATTTAAATCTCTTAGAAAATTGCCAATATGTAGCAAGCACTCAATAAATATGAGCTTTACTACTACTGCTACCACTGCTTCTGCTACCATCATTACTTCTTTTGTTGTTGTTTTGTTTTGAGACAGAGTCTCGCTCTGTCGCCCAGGCTGGAATGCAATGGCGTGATCTCGGCTCACTGAAACTACTGCTTCCCGAGTTCAAGCGATTCTCCTGCCTCAGCCTCCCAAGTAGCTGGGATTATAGGCACGCACCGCCATGCCCAGCTAATTTTTTTTTTTTTTGTATTTTGAAATAACTTTAGGTGTTTTATTTCCACACATGTAAAGGTCTCATAATTTTGTCATAAATCATGCACAAAGAACAATTTCTATTTTTAGTAGAGATGTGGTTTCACTATATTGGTCAGGCTGGTTTCGAACTCCTGACCTTGTGATCTATTTTTCTCAGCCTCCCAAAGTGCTGGGACTACAGGCAGGAAGCCACTGCACTGGCCCCATCATTACTTTTAATGCCACAGCCATGTTAGACATTAGGTGTATATTTCAGGAAATATTACATAATACCTTACATTTTTTTCCCCAGAGCAATTTTGGGTTCTTTCAAAAATGTGTAAATATTGTACATTATGAGTAAAGAATCTAAGCTTATTTTATGAGCAAATGAATACCTACTATATATTCCAGAGAAAGAAAACTACATGATTTACATGGGTATGAACTGTAAGTTATTCTTACTGTTTGCCAGTAACTTCTTAGTTTTTCCACTGTCGTCTTTACCAAATCTTGAATGCTAATCTGCTCTAAAGACTTTACTATGTAACTGCTTGTAGAAGGTGTTCATATGTTCAATATAAAGTATCAAAATATTTAATTGAAATAAAAATGCAGCCACTGATTTTTGTTCCTGTAATCATTTATTTGTATAACAATTCTTGTAATTTCCTGCATGCGTAACTTGAGGGACAAATAACCAATTGTTTTATGGGAATGACATTTCCAATGTGGTTTATATTAAAAGATGTTATGAAAAATTCAACTTTGGTTAGAAAGTTAATTTTGAGTGTGTAGATGAAGGGTTTTTAAACTTTTTATTTTGAGATAATTGGAAATTCACCAGTAGTTGTAAGAAATAATATAGAGACACCTTTAATTCTTTACCCAATTTCACCCAATGGGAGTATCTTGTAAAACTATTATGCAATAAAACAACCAAGATACTGACAGTAATAGACTCAAGATAAAGAATATTTCCATCACAATAAGAATCTCTCATGTTACCCTTTTATAGCCTCATCCAATCCCTTCCTATCCTTAACACTAAGCAACCAATAATCTGTCCTCCCTTTCTAGAATGTTGTCATTTAGGAGTGTTACATAATTGGAACCACATACTATGCAACCTTTTGTGGTTGCCTTTTTTACTCAGCATAATTTTATGGAGAGTCATCCAGAGTATTTCAAGTATTGCTCCTTTTTATTGCTGAAGACCCATCCATCGTCTGGATGTAGCACAGGCTGTTGAACTACTCACCCCTTGAAGCACATCAGGGTTGCTTCCAGTTTGAGCTCTTACAGATAAAGCTTCTGTAGGCATTTGTGTACAGGTTTTATATGAACGTTGTTTTTATTTCCCCAGGAAAATTCCCAGGAGTGCAATTAATTTTTTAAGTAAGTATCAAACTGTTTATCCAAAGTGACTATGCCATTTTACAAACTAACCAGCAAAGCAGAGATAAAGTGTCTTTATCCAGAGATAAAGTGTTTCCACATCCTCACCAGAATTATATATGTTGATTGTTTTAGCCATTCTGATAAATGTGAAACAGCAAGATTTGTTACAGCCCTCCTTCCTCCTCCTCTATCCCTCCCTTCCTTCTCTCCTTCCTTCTTCCTTTTCTTTTCGTTTTTTCTTCTTTTTCTCCCTTTCTCTTTCCTCCTCTCCTCTCCTTCCTTCCTTCCTCCCCCCTCTATCCCTCCCTTCCTTCTTTTCTTTTCGTTTTTTCTTCTCTTTCTCCCTCTCTTTCCTCCTCTCCTCTCCTTCCTTCCTTTTCTTTTCTTTCTTTTTTCTTTCTTTCCCTTTCTTTTTCTTTCTTTTCCTTCCCTGCTTCTTTTCTTCTCTTCTCTCCTCTCCTCTCCCTCTCCTCTCTCTCTCTCTCTCCTCCCCTCTCCTTTCCTCTCCTTTCATTTCCCTTTTCTCCCTTCTTTTCTCCCTTTCTCTCTTTCACTCTTTCTTTCTCCACTGGAATCTCTAGTTTGCTAACAGCTTCAACTGAAAGTTTGGGATTTATGAGGAATATAGAAAACAACATTTTTTCTAAAATGGAAATTGTGTATACTAAGCCTTTAAATGGTACCAAAATCAGCAAAGAAATATGACTTACATGTATGTTTTGATAAAGTGACCCTACAGATAAGTATTAAATACTATATAAATACTTTAAAAATTAAAATACTAGAAACAACATAAAAATGAACTAAATCAATCGAAGAAGACATATAAACTCTATTATATGTCTATATATAAAATTTGTTTTAAATGTTCAAAACTTAAAAAAAATATGCAGTGGGGATATTATTTAGGAAACTATTGTGCGTCACTCATTTATTTTCAATAACTTTTTAAATTAATGAGGTTTGTAAATGTTTACATATCTTTAAAATTTAGAGGGATTTTGATCTTCCTTTTGTGTTCAGTCTTCCTCAGCAGTCTAATTTTCTTAGTTGAGTGAAGAGACGTATGGATTTTTCCCTGTAACCCCAGAAATCTGTATTCTCCCGGGTTCCCTCATGAACAGGAAGGCAAGATGGTGGCCTTACCATGTACACTGACAGTGAGAAAAGGGGGAGGTCATGATTAAGTTTCCCATAGTAAACATTAAATATTACAACTTTAGCATAACTATATATGCATCAATACGCATATTTGACAGCTAATATTAAAATGGGGATATATTTTGACTTTTTAAAGTATTTTGTAAAATAAAGTTGACATTATAATGAATACTTACTAATCATTGACCATGAAGCTATAATTAAAAGCAAAGAAAAAAATCATTTAATTATTCAAATATGCTCAGGAAAAGTATACATTTATTCTTTTTCTTGGGAACTTTCTGAATTTGGATTCTTAACAGCTGCCAATTAATATTGCATTACTTCTAACTCTTTAATCAGATAGTGAAAACAAAACCAGAAAGAGAAAGATTGGTTCCAAAACGTGTCTCTCTGTTGTCAACACATATTGTGTTCCTGAATATCACAATCCATCAATGTATCTTACAAATGCAAATATTCAGACTATAGTTTGTTTTATGTATACTTGCATGTTACTGAAATATTGAAAACCTAAGTCAAAATTACTTTTAAAAAACTTAGCCACAAAATCCTAAAATAATATGTAAAATATTCTTATCCTAATAAGAATCAGGCTTTGGATTTCAAATGTAGAATTATTTACTCCTTACCTTCTAAGGAATTTGAATCACAGGTGAAAACACAAAGCCAATGTCCCTGAAGAATGTATAATCTAATTTAAAAAAAGGAAACTACTGAGGATACATTTGGCAATTGAAAAATGCAGTTATAAATGATGGACACAACATTATGCCATGTCCATCTTCATGCGTGCAAAAGGAGCCACTCAGAGGTGCTCTTGCCCCACGCTCCTCCTCTCAGATGATGACAACTTCATTCTTTCAATTCCTCAAGCCCAAACCCTGGAGTCATCCTTGCTCCTCTTTGTTATACCTCACACACAATTCACTAATGTATTTTCAGCTCTATCATTCAGATTATTCAGAAAGTGTCTACTTCTTACCTTACTGGGATATTGCTTCACCTGGATAATTGCAGTGTTGTCCTAACTAGTCTGCTGCAATTGAACTCATGCCCTTTCATAGTTTTTTCAGCAAACAGAGTGGTCCTGTAAATTCAGATCTGATCACTTTGCTCCGTGCTTTCCTATTTTTCTCATCATTCTAAGCTTCAGGCACCTGCTATTCCTACCAGATGATAAGATGCGCAGCCTCCAAGCCTTTGCAGTAGCTAATCCTTTGACCTGTTATGCTTTTCCCTACACATCCTTACACTTTGGTTCGCCCACTCCTTAATTCTTACTTAGATTATACCAGATCTCTTGAGTCCTGCTCTCTGTCCTATTTAATTTGTTATCCTTTTGCCTGAAGTCTTTCCATACCACTCTCCTTCTTTACTTTTCTTCTCAGCAGGTATTATTAATGTATTAATATACTAATAATTTCACCTGTTTGTGTATTTGTTATTCGTTTAGCTCAGTAGAATGCAGTTTCCACAAGAGCAAGGATTTCTGTCCCCAGAATCTAGAAGAGTATCTAGCAGAGAGCAGATGCTTAATAAACATGAATTGAAGGAGGGAAGGAAAAAAAGAGAAAAGAAGAAAGAAAGAAAAAAATGAGGAAAGGAAGGAGGGAAGGGAGACAGGAAGGAAAAAGAGACGAAAAAAGTCTCTACAGCTCTCTAGGGGTGTCAAAGAAGTTTTACTAACTTAAAGTTACTGTTAAGTACCCAATGTGAAAAAAACTATGAGCTCAATCTTTATTTTATTATGATAAAATGGTATATTTTATTAAATACTCACAGAGTTACTTTTCTGTTAGTATTTAAATCAAGTTTAAAGTTTAGTTACATTTATTTTCCAAACCTCTGGAAATACTAGTTTTGGTATTCTGTTACACACTAGGGTGACTATAGCTAGTAACAACGTAGTATATACTTCAAGACAGAAGATTTTGAGTGTCATCACCGCCAGAGATGATAAATGCTTAAAGTGCTGAATATGGTGATTAACCCGATTTGATCATCACACAATGAATATACGCATTGCAACATCACATTATACCCCATAAGCATGTACAATTATTTTGTATCAATTATAATGTAAAAATTAATTGATAAAAATATTGATTTCTTTTATAATTCTATCCTTTTCTCAAATTTTTTACAGGGTATGATACAACAACACGATCTGTAAAGTATTTGTTAATAATAAAACAAGGACCAGAACAATTACATATTATACTATTCATAATAATTTTGGTAGCCAAATACACGTAATGGCAAAGGCTACCTTGAGAGCCCATTCCAAAATATTCTATTTTCACTTAAAATAGCTCAACATTTTAAACGGTGGTCTTGGAAACCCCCTTTTATCTATGGCTTTTGGTGAAATCAACCAATTGCTCTCTGCTCCTGCTATAGGTCACAGGAAATTCATGAAGCAATAGTGCTGATATTGATTAAATTGTCTCCCAGCAATGTACATGTTGAAGTCCTTAAATCCAGTACCTCACAGTGAGATTTGGAAATAGGATACCTGCATGTGTACTATTTCAAGTCAGGATGAGATCATACAGGAGTACCTATTACAGGTCACACTTTAGCCCTAATCCAGTATGACTGATGTAATTCTAAAAAGGGGAAATTTGCACCCAGTGAGAATGGCATGTGAACATGAAGGCAGAGATTAGGGAGAATGCCATGTACAAGGCAAGGAACACCTGAGGCTACCAGGAGCTAAGAGAGAAGTTTGAAACAGCTTTTTCTTGCAGCCTTCAACAGGAACCAACCTTGCTGGTGCCTTGAAATCAGACCTCTAACCTCCAGAACCACGAGACAACAAGGAAAACGAAACATGCAGTGTATTGCCAGAATACAATATTGCATGTCCTTATATTCTGGCAGCAGAGACCTAACATTTTTGAAAGCCATTTTAGACACTGTTCGGTGTATGAAGAAAATAAAAGGGTTGAAGGGTTACTGTCATAGAAAAATAGCTGCAGTAAGGCTGGGCACAGTGGCTCATGCCCATAATCCTAGCACTTTGGGAGGCCGAGGTGGGTGGATCGCCTGAGGTCAAGAGTTTGAGACCAGCCTAGGCAACATGGTGAAACCTCATCTCTACTAAAAATACTCAAATTAGCCAGGCGTGGTGGTGGGCACCTGTAATCCCAACTACCTGGGAGGGTGAGGCAGGAGAATTGCTTGAAACCAGAGGCGGAGGTTTCAGTGAGCCAACATTCAGCCACTGCACTCCAGCCTGGGCAACAGAGCAAAAACTCCATCTCAAAAAAAAAAAAAAAAAAAGAGAGAAAAGAAAAATAGCTGCAGTAAGGTCATTTAATAGAGGCTTCAGGAAAGGTCTCTGAGGAAAGAACCACTTGAGTTTAGCTCTCAGAGAAGAGAGACCAGTGAAATAATATTATAGGCAGAACAAAGAGTAAGTAGAAAGGTCTTACTGGGAAAGCTTGGCATTCTCAAAATAAAGAAGAAACTGGAGAGGCCATACAGTAAACATGAAGAGGAGAGTAGTCCATATTTAAGAGAGAGTAGTTTTGTTTATATTGCTTTGTTCTAACTGGAAACTGAACTTTTATATAGAGGTCTTACCTGATTTACTTTTCAAAATTTTGTTTAGGCTCAAATCTGAAGAATTTACTCAGGATAGCAAGTATGCACATGAAAACAATGTAGAAAATTCATTATTATTAATAAATACTATTGTGACAGCAGCTATATTTAGAGGGTTCTTCCCAGAATCCCTCTGCCCAAAATTATTTTTTGCTAGATTGCCTGTTCCTTTAGCCTCAGATTCTCTTTCTAGAAATGCATTTATGGAAACATCATACATAAGCTAAAAAAATAGAAGGTGCGTTTTATCATTTAGGTAGTTTGTGCCCCCCGATGGACAATAATATACTCATTAAAATGGTGTATAAAATTGCTGTGTGACAACAACTAGAGTAACTTAAAATAGAATATTAAGCGATAAGCAAGAATGCATGTTTCCATCTGTCATAATTTCAACTATAAATATATGAATGCATTTGGACAACCATTGAATGGCCTAGAAAATATGAAAAAAATGTTGTTAAGGTTACAGAGTTGTGTATTTTTATTATGATTTTCCTCTTACAATTAAAATGTAACTTAAGGTAAATATATTTCTTTGGATTGAGTCAGTGCAATATCTACAATTTAGAAATCCTCTTTTCAAATACAGCACCAATCAAACATTGAGGCATGAACATATGTTTTAGGTTAGGGTGTCAACAATTGGTCATCCCTGACTTCTTGGGAGGTTAACAAACCATGACTCAACATAAATCAGTAGCATTTGGGGATTTCTGGCTAAGGACAGTGGGAATTCAGAGCTCTGAAATCACAACCCAGGTATTTCACATCTTGGAGTCTCTCTTGGGTTCTTGGATCAAAAAGGAGAGTAGAGTAACACATGAACAATGAATGGGAGAAGAAAATTTAAATTCCTAATTCACAAAATGTTTAACCCATCATGAAAACTGTTATTAAGTCTATGAAATGTGATCTCAAATTGTTAAAAAAAAAAGATAGCAGGAAAGATAATTTATCTTTGGCTTGTCCCCAGAGACAATGGGGTATCTTGATAATTGTTTTAACAATGTTAAATTTTAAATACACAAGCATTTTCAAATGATGAGCTTATTATTCATTTACTGAAATCACTAGACTTATATTATTATACCAAAAGATTTGCTAAAATTAACCAGCTAAGTAAATAAGTAGAAGAAGAAAAATCCTTTCATATATCTTAGAAAGCAGCTTAAGTAGCCTCAAAGTTGTACTGAAGAAATTCAAAATCCAGTCACTGTAATACTACTCTCTCCCCTTCTCACTTTTTCTGTTTCCATTTTCTCCATGCGTTATTGATCTATTACAGTCTCTTTGCTTATCTATATTCTACCTATACTTCAAGACTCAGTTTAAATTCTGAGGTTGACAGACTTTGGATTCAAACAGATGTTATTTCCAATTTTTGATTTGTCTGTTTCTGTGATTTCAAGAAAGTTAAATTACCTGAATTTGTTTCCTCATGTGAAATGGGCAATATTATGTTTTCCACATAAATGCTATCAGGAAAAAGGGAGATAAAGCACCCTTGTGAGGCTCCTAATGAATATTAATCTCTTCCCCATTTGTGTTACTCAGTGCAGTCTCATCCAGTTGGAAATAATGCAATGTAAAGAATATGAGCTTAGTAGTAGAGTTTCAACAGAGTTTTACCACTCATACATGTGATACCTTCACTAGGTTGTTTAACCTGACTGGGTCCCTGTGTTAGGCTAAATAATGGTCCTCCAAAGAAGTCTATGAACTAATCCCTGGAAGCTTTGAATTTATTACATTAGAGGACAAAAGAAAATTAAGGTTGATAATGAAATCATGGTTGCCAATTAGATGAATTTAAGATGGGGAGATTATCCTGCATTATCCACAAGCATGGGCCCAAGGTAATCACAAGGGTCCTTGGAAGTGGAAGAAGAGGTAGAAGAGTGGGTCTGAGAGATGCAACAGGAGAAGAATTTGACTTGCTTTTCCAGAGTTTGAAGGTGGAGGAAAGAGTCATGAGCCAAGGGATGTGACAGTCTCTAGAAGATAGAAATGGGTTTCAGCTGACAGCCAGCAAGAAAACCGGAATCTCAGTCTTACAGTCTCAAGGAACTAAATTCTGCCAAAAACACAAATAAACAAGGAAACAGATCCTCCCCTAGGATGTCCAGAAAGAAATGCAGTTCTGCCAACAACTTGATCTTAGCCTCGGAATTATGACCTATAAAACTATAACATTGGTGTCTTTTAAGCCAAAAATCTAAAACAAATTCTTGAAGGAACAATAGAAAAACTAATGGAATTTCCTTCATAAGAATTCTTAAATAGGGACAATTGTACCTACCCCTTGGTATGATTTTGAAAATTTAATTTATTAGTTTCACAAAAAAACCTAGCACATTATTAGCATCCCATAATAAATGCTCTTTTTACGTATTTTTCTTCTTTTCTTATTTCACCCTGGATTCCTGTAAATGTATGCCATCTGTAGGTGTTATGTGGAAACTATGTATTGCTATATTTCACCTATAGATGTATGCAACTAATTATGTCCAGGTGATATCTCTTCCAGTATCAATTTCTATTATAATTTAAGCTCCACAATTTACTGGCTGTGATTTTCAGGTGAGTTGTCTAACCTCTCTGTGCATGCCTCCTATCTGTAAATGAAAATAATAAGGGTAATAACTCTTTTATCTAGTTGTGGTAATAATTCAATGGAATGCTACTTAAATAGCATTTAGACCAGCACCTGGAACATTGTATTTGCTCATTAAAATGAGCTACTTTTATTTTTTTCACAGGCTTATAGCCTTCAACTGATTAAACGATATGTCCCTTGATGTTCAAATAGTATCTTGGAGTAATTCTTATCCCACTTAGAACCTGGAAAAATGTCTAAATGAAAGTAGATACTTGATAAATATTCATGGACTCAATTTTATGTTCTCCTTTAATCTAGTCACATATCATTAGCACTTAGACCCATTCTATCCCCATCCCTAGCTTGAAGGATAAAAGGAACTTTCAGTGAGAGGAGGGAAGGATGGAACAAGTTAGAGAACCAGCGGCTTAGACACTTAGCTGCAGAAATACTGTCTTCCCTATTCTACTGTGTCAGACAGAGCAAGAAAATTTTAACATAATCAAAATTCACTCCAACTATGTTAAAGCTCTCTGATAGAGCTAAGTGCTGTATTTTCATGCTTAGATGTACAATGAGAAATGAGGACTAAATGGTTCCAAGTTAGTTTCCCAAATTCTGAAAATCTGAAGTCATTATTCTTTATAGCATAAGACACTCATCTTTTAAATAGGATTTGAACTTAGAATTAAACATTTTTCCATTGCATTGAGCACACAAAAGGCTGACTCAATGACTGAAGATGGGAATGTACAAAACAAGCCTGCTGAACTGAGCCAATCACAAACACAGTTTGCTGAAGCAGGTGGAATGGGAATCTCTAACTAGAATTATGTTAGATTACTTGAAACGAGGGACCATATTTTACTCATCTTGTGCTTAGAAGTGTGTCTTTAAAATGAAAGAAATACCAATATTTGTTTAATTCGATTGCATGAATTTAACTGCTGTTTAGCAGAGTATATAGGAATAGAAAAAGATATGTGATATTTCAACTAGGGAATCAAGATTTGAGCAGAGAACAAAACACAACATCATACTTTAAGGAGGACAAGAGCTCAAATCATCAACACCTATTCTTCTTATTAAAAGCAGGATGTAACCAACTAGTGGGACTAATTACTTAAAATGACTTATTTCAGTACATTTTATTATTTCATGTGTGTCACTTAGTGTATGCTATATGATTATCTTATGAAAACACTGATTTTAAAAATCTAATATCAGCTGTTGACATTACTCTCATAATTTGAATTCTGTGAACATTACTACAGTGAATGGTTTTTCTCTGAGAAACATGTTCAAAGAAAATAGCATCTGCTTCCAAATATCTCATGTTGTTCCAAAGCTCTCTGACATATGGATTGTGGTTAGTAGAGGTGGCTTTGAGACCAGGTCACCTCATTTTAGATACTATCTCTAGCACTAGGTGATCCTGGTCAAGCTATTTGTGAAATACCATTTGAATTTTTAGGTGGGGGAATAAATGGCATTAAAACTCTTTTTTAAAATTATACTCTAAGTTTTAGGGTACATATGCACAACGTGCAGGTTTGTTACATATGTATACATGCCATGTTGGTGTGCTGCACCCATTAACTCATCATTTAACATTAGGTATATCTCCTAATGCTATCCCTCCCCCCTCTCCCCACCCCACAACAGGCCCCGGTGTGTGATGTTCCACTTCCTGTGTCCATGTGTTCTCATTGTTCAATTCCCACCTATGAGTGAGAAAATGTGGTGTATGGTTTTTTGTCCTTGTGATAGTTTGCTGAGAATGATGGTTTCCAGCTTCATCCATGTCCCTACAAAGGACATGAACTCATCATTTTTTATGGCTGCATAGTATTCCATGGTGTATACGTGCCACATCGTCTTAATCCAGTCTATCATTGTTGGACATTTGGCTTGGTTCCAAGTCTTTGCTATTGTGAATAGTGCTGCAGTAAACATACGTGTGCGTGTCTTTATAGCAGCATGTTTTATAATCCTTTGGGTATATACCCAGTAATGGGATGGCTGGGTCAAATGGTATTTCTAAACTCTTATCACTATATCTGCAACAGAACAAGTGTTCAATAGACATTAGATATTTGCATTACTATATTTTAAAAAGTAATCCTTTCCTTGTGGCTTTGCTCAAAGCATCTTGGAGCTTTTCATACCCCATTCATCATGTTTATAGAATTTAATACAACCAACCAAGAAAAAAGAAGATGCATCTATATTTTCTTCTTCTATTCTTCTAATGTCTGTGTAGAAATCTTTACTAGCTGTAAATAAAGGGTGACAAAAGTCATATGGTCATTCTGAAATTAAATACGAGAAATTCAAAAATGACTATTAAGTGTCGATCGTCTGAATTGCAAAAGTTATGTTTTCACTTTCATTTTTAGTAAATTTAAACTTCAAAAATGCAAGTAATTCTAATGAAGGGATTTGAGGAAAAATTGAACGTCATCCCACATCCTGGGCAGCATGTAAGCCTTGCAGCATTAGGCTCTGTGACCTAAGCTTGCACAAGAACCTGATTCTGGCAACTGAGCAAACATTTGCCCTTCTCAGATTTTAAGTCTTTTCTCTGAATATCTTTTAACCACGCTGTTTCTGATGTTTTTGCCAAGCATCCACCTGCCTTTCAAATGTCCTAACAAATACTAGGGTTGCATCCAAGTCTCATGAAGCATCCTATTACTGAAATGTTTGTAGGGCATAAAAGGAATGCTGGCAGTGTGTACAGTAATAAATGCCTTTTCTGTTGTTGGTAATTTTCACATTGCTATTTTCATCAATTACTCACAATCAGAGACTTGCAGGATGGCAAAACTCACATGCAAGGTCTTTAAAAATCTGTCCTGCAAGTGAATTAATATTCCTCATTTTATGATGGTAATTGGTGACCAGATGCAGTGAATCACAAAAACGTTAGTGTCCTTTCAACCTAAGAATCTTTTGTCTGCTTAACAAACAGCAGGTTGAAGCCTGTAAAAGCAAATCACAAATAATATCTCAATTACATCTTATCAGCACAACTATTTGCCTGGCTTTTTTCTGTAGATAAACCAAAACATATTTATCAGTCTTTGGAACTGAGAAGGAGAGCACAAGTTATTTTCTCAGTACCCTAATAGAGAGACAAGGACATATCTTGTTGGTAGAATTTGCAAAAAAAAAAAAAAAAAGAATTGAATTACAGTGTAAGTTTCTGAAAAACATGACAACAAAACTAGGCCACATTTAATTATTATTTTACGCTGCTTGAGAGAAATAAATTCTGGAATCACTGTTGATATCTACATGTTTGGGGGAGTGAGGTAGTAACTCTCCAGCCTTATTTCATAAAAAGAACTATTTTAACGTCCATTAGGTACTAAAATATTCTATAAGAATAAACCCTAGAAATATGTTTGTATATAAACACACACATATATATGCACACAAATATATATATTTATATAGTACTAAGAATCGCTAATGAGCATAGCAATGATCAGTTTATATATAGCAATGATAATAGAGACATATAGAGAGAGACATATATATATGTCAATGTTATAGTATTATCTTCAATATTCAAAGTGCTTGAAGCAGGTATGATATAAATACAAACTTGAAAGTTTCCAATAAATATTCTGAAACCATTCTTTGGAAAGGAGGAAGGGCTGAGAGTAATGTAAAAGTTTTGGAGAGGGCATCAATTCCTAAACTAATTTCTCAGGATTATTCTGGCATGTATAACTGATGAAGAAACCTATTACACTAACTTAGGAAAGTTATTTGGCTCCTAGAGAAGCGGATGAATAAATTGAACTCATACAGGGTTTTTCATAACACACTTTTCAAAGCTTCATCTCATGATGCAGAACTGGAAAAATCCAGTGCACAAAATGTGGGATATCACAGCAATCATCGAACCCTGGACTCATGTTGTCATAAAAGCTTGTCGTACCACACCAAATTAACTTCCAGAGAAATGCATTTCAACTGTTGCTCTTTAAAAATACAGTCATAAAATACTCTTATTCTACTTTATGAAGTACCAAACTATAAAAAAATATAACACTCTCTTTCTGAAGCCAAATGTTGTGGATTTATGTGCTGTTTATACCACAAAGATACTTAAAAATCTAATGATTCCAGAATAGTATAATCACAATATTTTGAATTACCATCACTATTGAACTCTTGTTGATTTTCATGATGCTTAGGGCATTGTGTTGCCATTTTAGAATGAATAAAACATGGTCTCCGTAATCAAAGGGATAGTTGTTGAGACAGGTTATAAACATAAAAAAGAGATGATAATGAAAAACAATTAGAATATTATTGCTAAAATAAATACTATCCCTATACATGAGGACCTCAGCTCTCTTAGATACCTAGAGTTTACAAATACTTCAATGAAAATTTCAACCATGATCCACCAAGCAACCTGGGTTATTTATTTATTTATTTGAGATGGAGTCTCACTCTGTCGCCCAGGCTGTAGTGCAGTGGCACAATCCCGGCTCACTGCAACCTCCGCCTCCCAGGTTCAAGGGATTCTCCTGCCTCAGCCTCCCGAGTGGCTGGGATTACAGGCACCCCCGCCACCACACCCAGCTAATTGTTGTATTTTTAGTAGAGACGGGGGATTCACCATGTTGGCCAGGCTAGTCTCAAACTCCTGACCTCAGGTTATCCACCCATCTCAGCCTCCCAAAGTGCTGGGATTACAGGCGTGAGCCACCGCCCCCAGCCCAGATTTATTTTTAAATGAATTCAGTCCAAGCTCATAGGCGGAAATCTCTGTGGTGATTATATCCCACACTTGAATATATGGTTTTTTCAGTCAAATCCTACACCTGACTTTATACTCCACTTCATTTGATTACTTAAAAAAATAAGACCTCAGGTTGTTTCTAACCTCTGAGGTTAGCAAAAGAAACAATGGCATGATAAAGTGGTCTGATGCCTTTCTAAATGAAATTTAAAACCTGAAACTCCACCAAGATTTATAATCAGGAATTCACTCTTTGCTCTGTTTTGAACTTCATAACTTACTTTAAAATATAAGTTTTAACTACTCTTTCCTCTATGTGTCTTATAAATAATTACCTTTGTCCAAAAGCAATAAATTTTGATATGACTCTAGGCTGAAGTTATGAGGAAATATGAAGGTACTATACTGTCACAGAACAGCAGAAAGGCTAACCTAGAAGAATTTATATGAGGGGGTGAGTGAAAATGCCAACATCATGCAGGATTATTACTATTGCATTATGTCTTTATTTTATTTTTAAAAAATTTGACAAACATATATTTAAGGTATGCAGGTTGAGGATTTGATATCCTTATACATGGTGAAATAAATCACTACAATAAAGCTAATTAACAAATCTACCACTCAGTTATTTTCTTGTGTGTGTGTGTGTGTATGTGTGTGTGTGTTTGTGGTGAGAACATGTAAGTTCTACTCTCATAGAAAATTTCAAGTATACAATAAAATATTGTTAACTAGAGTTACAATATTGTGCACTAGAGGTCCACAACTGGCCAGGTGCAGTGGCTCAGGCCTGTAATCCCAGCATTTTGGGAGGCTTAGGCAGGTGAATCACTTGAGCTCAGGAGTCCAACACCAGCCTGAGCAACATGGTAAAACCTCGTCTCTACAAACACACACACACACACTACAAATATATATATATATATAGCTGGGCATAGTAGCTTGCACCTGTAATCCCAGCTACTCAGGAGGTGAGAGGCAGGAGGATCGCTTGAGTCCAGGAGGCCTAGATCTCAGTGAGCCAAGACATGCCACTGCACTCTAGCCTGGACAACAGAGCAAGACCCTGTCTCTAAGTAAGTAAGTAAGTAAGTAAGTAAGTAAATAAATAAATAAATAAATAAATAGGGTTCCATTACTTACTAATCTTGAATAACTAAAAGTTTGTATCCTTTGACCAGTATCTACCCATTTTCCTTGCCCCTCCATCCATAGGTAACCACCCTTCTACTCTCTATTTCTATGAGTATAACAACATAGATTCCATATATAAGTAAGATCATGCAGTATTTGTCTTCTTGTATCTGAATTATTTCACTTAGCAGAATGGCCTCCAGGTCCATACATGTTATCACAAATGGCAGCACTTGCTTCTGTCTTATGGCTGAATAATATTCCATTTTGTGTATACACACACACACACACACACACACACACACACACACACAATATTTTGTTCATTCATTCAACAGACTTTTAGTATGTTTCCATATCTTGTCTATTGTGAACTATGTTGAAATGGGAGTGCAGATATCTCATCGAGATCCTCACTTTACTTCCTTTAGATATATACCCAGAAATGGGGTTGCTGGATTTCATTTTCATAGTTCCATTTTAGTCCACATAGGAATTAAACTAACACTAAATACAATGTCCATGTCTTGTTACAGATTCTTCCTCTAATTACTTATTAAACAGCATATACAAGTACAGCATGATATTTTGGAAGCAATAACTAAGTTTATATCTTTTTCAGCTGTAATGATTTGTCAAAAAATCAAATCTATCCTTAAATTCAACTCCAGCAGGAATTTTAAAAATTGTTTTTGACAGTTTTATTAATCACAGTGTGTTCCTGTATCTTTAAGATTTGTTCCAGCCTGCATTCCAGGTTTTAAAATTAGGGAAATGTAAGATTATGTTTCCAAATATGCTGATGATATGAAGTTTTATATTGTAGCGATAGTGGATCCACTATGGTTGGTGATATGAACACATTAATTTGTAGCATAAACAACTATTTACTATTCCCCCCCAAATCAGAGTAAAATTACCTATCTGTACTTCAATTTATATCTAATACTGTCTCTTCTGAATTGCATATTATTGCTATCAGTTTATCATTAGTCTCCCAAATTGGTATGTTTCAAGGTGCCTGGAAAAGTTAATAATTGTGTTTGCAAGAACAAAGTTAAAGTATTTTCGTCTGTTATTTAGTCTGTTATTATACTAAGACTTCCTAATGATAATAGCAATGATTAGATTAATTTGAGGCTAATGGGATATGAGCAGATCTAATCTACAAAATGTTCTTACACCTGAGGAAAATAATACACTTAGTACATTTAAATTGGAACACAATGTATAATATTAAGAACACCAACAACAGAAATAGCACTCTCAATGGTCCAAGTCCTAAGCTGTTTGCATATTTTGACTCATTTATTTTCAGTACAACCCATGAGGTAGGTGTGATCCTTGTTCCTCATTTTAAAGATGATGAAACTGGGACCTAAAGGTGTTTAATTCCTTGTCTTAGTTTGCATAGATAGCAAATGTCAAAGCTCACATTCATTTCAAACTCAAGCTATCTGGCTGCACAGCCATGGTCTTAATTTACTACCCTATAGAACTAGTGAGTACACAGGTTGAAGCCAAGAACAGCTATCACTCAAAGAAAGAATAGGTCAGCCTGGATGTGTTTATATACCCATGTTTCTAGCTCTCAAGCTTCCTTGGTGTGCTGAAGCTTTGGTTGGGAAAGGAGTCCACTGCGCATTCATTTTCCTCTTCTTCAGTGTCTCTGGATTTATATATGTAATAGTTCCTCTGGACTTCAGCTTCAGAATCATGTAGGACTGAGTCATCCATTTATAGAACCCATTTCTTTTGTAACTTCTCAAAATATTTAAAATTGTGCAGATGAGGGAGTCTGATGGTTCTCGCAGTGGTGTCATGTGACAGTGGTATCTTTTTATGACCTCTACTGGCTGTCTCTGCTCTGGCATTTCATAATTGGGCTTCAACTTTGGAGACCTAAGTTATTTAAAGGAGTTTCTTATCAGGTGTTAAAACCCTTTTATTAATAGATGGAATGGAATCACTTGATTTTAATTTTTATCCAAGAAAAGAAAAAGCCAAGTTTGAAAAGTATTACATATTCAATGCTGCCTATTTTAATAAACTACCATAAAATTATTTGAAAAGATCTAACTGTAGGCTAGCACAAACACAATTAAATTTCAAGAAGGACTTATTTTGCAACTCTGTACTGCAAACTTTACTTCAGGGTGCCCAGGTGAGAAAAGGGCAAGAATTAGAAAGAATATGATTAAGAAAGTAGAAAAGAAAACCCAGAAACTAAGCCTGAGACATTTATATTCTTAACATTCAAACCATGCATTTTCACTTTTAAGCCAAATTACTTATAATAAATATTTGGATATAACATTAGGAATAATAACATAAATAATTTCAAAAACAAATAACAAACAAAACAATTTTTTCCAAAGATATATTTTAATTCCGTATTGAATATATATAGGCATTGGTGTCTTCTCTCTTCCGTATATCCTAATTCTGGAATATGTCTTCCCAACATAAACATACTAATGTAATTAATTATTAATTACTCTAACATATTTTGCCATTTTGCCTTATTAATATCATAAAACATCATTTTCGAAACTGAAGAGACAGCTACATTGAAAACAGACTATCTTCCAATTTGGGAATAAAAATCACAAATCTTAGCTACCGACCCAGAAGTTATTAGGACTCATTTCATTTAGGAAATAGAGGAAGAGTACTGAAAATAAATAATGCGGGAATTTAAAAAGAACTGTGAGGTTCTCTTTGCCTTCTAAATGCCATGAATAGGTTACGTACAAACTATACCACTCATCTGGCAGTTAACTATGACCACATTTTGAAAGCTATTTTATCTAGTTATTTAAAATATATAATTATTAAAATGTTCAATAAAATAGTAATCTGCCATTTGCTAAGCTGTTAATGCCCAATGTCTCATATTCCATAGCGGAAAACCAGCTGTAAATATTTGCTGATTGGTCAGATGTGCGATTTTAAGAATATTCTTGCAAGAAACATGATTGGGCTTTTAAACTACAGGAATCAAGCTGGTGGTTGTTTTTTAAATTCATGTATGTATGTATTTAATATTCAGCCCTGAAGTGCTATTATTAGAATATATGTTTTAAAGATGATTCAAAGATGAAAAAGGATGGTTCTTGCTCTTAAATCATGTAGCCACCTACAGTAGGTGCTGTAATAACATAAATATAATGGTTGGAGCAGGAAGTAACTAACTCTGGCTGGGAAACTACAAGAAAAGCTTTTTGGAGGAAACAGTGTTTGAATGAAGACACTGGTTGTGCTCAGGACAACCCTCCATCACAGAAAATTCTAAATTTTTTAGTCACCTCAGGCCTCCAGAACTTCTTTAACACTACCTTTACTTCATTCTGCTGTCTCTCCTAGTACTAGTAAGACCTCTTTGCTTTTACTCATAGAGTATGAATAAATGGTCTACATAAAGGATCAGTAATCTTTTTCTTATAAAGGGGTCAGAAAAATATTTTAGCCTTTCTGGGTCACATGGTCTATGCTGCAACTACTCATCTCTGCTGTTGTACAGAGAGAGAAACCAGACAAACTGGAAAGAAAGCAGTGTTGCTGTGTTTCAAGCAAAAGTAATTTATAAAAACACACAGCAGGCAAGATTTGGCCTGAGGCTGTTGTTTGCCAGCTTTTGGTCTAGATTACCCACCTCAAATGTCCTGGTGTACTTCTTTTATGTTTCCATTGTATCACATCCCATTATCCCATCTATACAACATAGTGAGTGTTATGATGTTTACCCTGTATTGTAACCACTATACTGTCTTGTAAACATTAATTTATGACCTATTAGATGGTTGATATGGTTTGGCTCTGTATCCCCACCCAAATCTCATCTCAAACTGTAATTCCCACATGTCAAGGGACGGACCTGGTGGGAGGTGATTGTATCATGGGGGTGGTTTCCCCCATGCTATTCTCATGATAATGAGGGAGTTCTCATGAGATCTGGTGGTTTTATAAGTGGCAGTTTCACCTGCTCTCTCTCGCGCTCGCGCTGTCTCTCTCTCGCGCTCGCGCTGTCTCTCTCTCTCTCTCTCACTCTCTCTCTCTCTCCTGCCATCTTCTGAAGTAGGTGCCTGCTTCCCCTTTGCCTTCGCCATGATTGTAAGTTTCCTGAGGCCTCCCAATCCATGTGGAACTGTGAGTCAATTAAACCTCTCTTATTTATAAATTACCCAGTCTCTGGCAATATTTTTATAGCAGTGTGAAAATGGACTAATACAATGGTAAATATATAGAGGTCAGGAATCAGATTTATAAATGCTTAATATGACTTGAATAAATGAACGAATAAATGAACAAATTAATGTACAGATGAACAAATTAAAAATGGAAGAAAAGAAAACCAAGGACAATCTGATGCCCGATGTAGATGCTACTCAATTATTCTAGGCCCTAAAATTAATGCAAAAGAAAACTAAAAGTAAACACAAAGTTTATAAAAATGTATGATCTGTGATATACACAATATATTCATTTTTATTTTAGTTTCATTGATAAGAAGACGTTCAAAACAAGAAAGGTAATTGGCAGTAAATATCTTTGTTATTGAATGTGTCACACACTTTTAAATGCTTTAAAGTGATCCACAAGATAAATACTAATTTGGAGATGAAGTTCGATGAATAAATTTATATATTTTTATTTTTTTAGAAATTAGTATAAACTGTTAAAACCTTCAATAAAGTATAACTCAGAATAAAACATAAATAGGTAGTTATCTGTTTTCATGTTAGCTTAGCTAATTTTTAAAAGAAAAGTAAGAATCCCTTTTTCTTGTTTTTTTTTCTAAACGTGAAATCATCCTGATTTCGGTGTTTCCTACACCAAAAACACCAACGTAAAACCTTAATTCAAGTTTGTTTAAGGAAACTATTTCTTTTCTTTTAGTTAAAAGATAAGAGTAAAAATGTGTGGGAAACTACTATTGTTCAAAGTAATTAAAACAGCTCATTTTTAAGATTAAATTTACAAGAAAAAAGATAAACTAATTGTACAGAAGTAGCTAAATGGAGCATATTATGTTGAACTGATCTTTAGTTCCTGATAGTATAGCTATAAATATGCAAAATTGGTTTGAAAATAAAATGTGTAGTTTACAATAAACCTATATGGTGCTATTCTATTCATTCCACAAATTTCAGTTTTGATACGGTTTGGGTTACTTTCCCACCCAAATTTCATGTTTAATTGTAATCCACAATGTTTGACGTGGGACCTGGTGGGAGGTGATTGTGGATCATGGGGGTGGATTTCTCATAAACGGTTTAGCTCCATCCCCTTTGTATTGTCCTTGAAATAGTGAGTGAGTTCTCAAGAGATCTGATCATTTAAAAGTGTGTAGCCCCTCCCCTGCCCTCTCCTCCTCCTGCTTTTGCCATGTAAACTGCCTGCTCCCACTTTGCCTTCCACCATGAATAAAATCTCGTTGAGGCCTCCCCAGAAGCAGATGCCATCATGCTTCCTGTACAGTGAGCCAATTTAACCTCTTTTCTTTTCTGTTTTTTTTTTTTTTTTTTTTTTTTTTTTGAGATGGAGTCTCCCTCTGTCGTCCAGGCTGAAGTACAGTGGCGTGAACCCAGCTCACTGCAAGCTCTGCCTCCCGGGTTCACGCCATTCTCCTGCTTCAGCCTCAGGAGTTGCTGGGACTATAGGCACCCGCCACCACGCCTGGCTAATTTTTTTTGTATTTTTAGTAGAGACAGGCTTTCACCGTGTTAGTCAGGATGGTCTCGATCTCCTGATCTCGTGATCTGCCCACCTCGGCCTCCCAAAGTGCTGGGATTACAGGTGTGAGCCACCGCACCCGGCCAAACCTCTTTTCTTATAAATTACCCAGTCTCAGGTATTTATTTTTAGCAATGCAAGAACAGAACAATACAGTAGTCCATAAATAATGCATAATACCGAAACAAACATTTCTCTCTTTAGAATGTACAACATATATTTATTGTTTCAGAAAGGTCCATTTTAGAGGTATGTAATTCACATATTAAATACAGAGGAAAATATTATATAATAGAAGCTCTATACATTAAAATCACATTTTAAATGGCTTATTTATTGACCACTGTATACACTTTACAGAGTGTATACACTTTACCATTGTATATATAGATTCCTCAATTTATATGAGAAAATATGTTAAATTACCAAAAAATATACACTGAGCTCCTACTGTTTGGCAGCTGCTTGCCCAGGTGCTGGAAAAAATGTGATGAGCAAAAACAATGGACAGAAAGAGAGGGACAGAAACACAACTCTGATTTCCCGTCTTGCCTTAAACACCTGGAACTCCCAACAAAATATGTAAAATATCATCTTTTCAGGGAAAATGGAAACAAATAACACTGATATCAAAGATAAAAACAAGCAAGATGAGCTCATTGCATGGAATGAATTTCCAAACTGCTGTGCAGATTTGGGGGACCCAAACAAAGCTCATTATTCTTGCTGAGTTTGGAGACAGGTTTCAGAGGTCAGGGAGGCTAAGGTGGTGAGAATTTTGACCAGAATAGCAGATAGATGGAAGGTAAACAGAAACACCTGCAGAGTGGTTCCTTAAATATTTTCTGTACTGTTAGGTGCACGTATTTGAGAAAACTACTGAGACCAGGGAAGAAAACTAGCAGAGGAATGAAGTGGGAGGAATAATTCTCAGGGATCAACCCAACTCAGGAATAGTTTGTGTTCCTACCAGAAAGAATAAAGACCTCCTAACACATGATATAATGTTGAACCTAGACTACAGGCTATTCTGTCTCTGCACTCAAAAGTATCATCCCTGCAATGCCAGAACTTTTGGAGGCCAATGCAGAAGGATCTCTTAAGGCCAATGCAGAAAGATCTCTTAAGGCCAGGAGTTTGAGACCAGCCTGAACAGCATAGAGAGATCCCACCTCTACAAAAATGAAATAGATGTGTGTGTGTGTGTGTGTGTGTATCTCCAGCCCTGATGGCATATGCCTGTAGTTCTAGCTACTTGGGAGGCTGAGACAGGAGGATCACTTGAGTCCAGGACTTCGAGGCTGTGATGAGGTATGATTGTGCTATGGCACTTCAGCCTGGAGACAGAGTGAGACTCCATCTCTATCAGAGTAAACCTCAAAATTAATCACAATGATTTAACTGCCTCACAGGAAAATAGTCCAACATTATTTAAAGAAATTCCCCAAAACCTACTGCACAATAATATAAACCACGATGTGTGGCATTAGAAAAATACAAGATATGCAAAGAAGTGGAAAAGCATGAACCTTAAGAAGGATAAAAATCAACTAATAAAAACACATGATCATATCAACAGATGCAGAAAAGAATCTGATAAAATCCAACACCTGTTAGTGAAATGAAAAAGCTCTTAGAAAACAAGAAATAAAGCGTATTTTCTAAGCTTAATAATATCTGTAAAAAACGTACAGCTAACACCATACTTAACGGCTAGAAACTACCAGATTTACTGCAAAGATAAGGAATAAGGTAAGGATGCCTCTTCTCGTCACTCTTTTTCAACATCATACTGTAAATTCTAGTTAATGCAATAAGAAAGAAAAAAATAAACAAGGATATAAAGATAAGGAAGGAAGAAATAAAACAATATTTGTTAACAGATGACATAATTGTCTATGTAGAAAATTAAAAAGAACTGACCAAAAAAAAACCTCTCCTGGAGCAAATAAGTGATAATAGCAAGGTGATGCAACATTAATATACAAAAGTCAAAAACTTATATGCCAGCAATGAGAAAGTGGGAACTGAAATTAAAACACAGCATCATTTACATTAGCATCCAAAAATAAAATACTTAGAAGTAAATCTAGAAAAATATAAAAGATATATATAAAGAAAATTATAAGACTCTGATCAAAGAAATCAAATAACTAGAAAATGAAGAAATATTTCATGTTCATGGATAGGAACACTCAATATTGTCAATATATTAGTTCTTCCCAACTTGATTCATAGATATAATGCAACCCAATCAAAATCTCAGCTTATTTTATGAATAACAACAAATTGATTCTACATATTGTTATGAATAACAACAAACTGATTCTATATGGGCCGGGCGGGGTGGCTCACACCTGTAATCCAGCTTTTTGAGAGGCTGAGGTGAGCAGATCACTTGAGGCCAGGAGTTAGAGGCCAGCCTGGCAAATACAGTGAAACCCAGTCTCTACTAAAAATACAAAAATAAGCCAGGAGGGGTGGCCTGTGCCTGTAATACAAGCTACTCAGGAGGCTGAGGCAAGAGAATCGCTTGAACCTGGGAGGCAGAGGTTGCAGTGAGCCAAGATCGCACAAGTAAACTCCAGTATGGGCAACAGAATGAGACTCCGTCTAAATAAATAAATACATAAATAAATAAATAAATAAGTAAACTTTATATGGAGAGGCAAAAGGCCTAGAACAGCTAAAATAACATTGAAGGAGGAGAACGAAGTTGGAGGACTGATATTTATCTGACCCTAGTATTTACTATAAAGCTATGGAAATCAAGATAATATGGTACTGGTGAAATAATAGACAAACAGAGCAATATAACAGCAAAGTGCCCAGAAACAGACAAAACAATTAATTTAGACACAGACTTTGAATCCTTCACAAAAATTAATACAAAATGGATCACAAACTTAAATGGAAAACACAGAACTGTAAAATTTCAAGTAACATAGGAGAAAATCTAGATGAGCTTTTGTTTGGCAATGTTGACGTAGATACAACAACAAAGACATAATCCATGGAACAAAGAATTAATAAATTGGATTTCATTAAAATAAAATGAAAACTTCTGCTTATTGAAAGACACTGTCAAAAGTATGAAAAGATAAGCTACAGGCTAAGAGAAAATATTGTAGAAAACATATTTGAAAAAGGACAATAACCAAAAATATACAGAGAACTCTTAAAATAAGAAATCAAACCAATCTACTAAAAAATGGGCCAGACACCTTAATAGACACTTCACCAAAGAAGATGTACCAATGGTAAATAACCATATGACAAGATGCTCCACATTATATATCATCAGGGAAATGCAAAGTAAAACAACAATGATATGCCACTAAGAACTTATTAAAATTGCCAAAACCATAATATTGACAACACCAAATGCTAGTAAGGATGTGGCGCAAAAGCAATTCTCATCCATTGCTGGTAAGAATGCAAAATGGTACAGCCACTCTGGAAAAGGCTTTGACAGTTTCCTACAAAACTATATAAATGCTTATCCTATGATCCAGCAATCGTGCTCCACGGTCTTCCTCAAAAGGAATTGAAAACCTATGTTCATAGAAAAACCTGCACTTGAAAGTTGATATTTATTCATAATTGAAAAAACTTGGAAGCAACCAAGATGTTCTTCAGTAGGTGAACAGATAAATACACTGGTACACCCAGATGATGGAATATTATTTAGCATTAAAGATAAATAAAATATCAAGCTATGAAAAGATATAGAGAAAACTTAAGTGCATATTACTAAATGACAGAAGCTAATCTGAAAAGCCTACATACTGTAAGATTCCAAATACAGCATACCAACATTTCAGTCAAGGACAGACAGCACGTATGATAGTTGCCTGTCCTATCATAAGATTATAATGAAGCTCAAAAATTCCTATCGTCTAGTGATGTCATACTGTCGTAAACTCATAGTGCATGGCACATGTGTTTGAGGTAGTGCAGGTATAAACCGACCTACTGCACTGCCAGTCATATAATAATATATCACATACAATTACTTACAATACATAATACTTGATAATGATAAAATGACTTACTGGTTCATATATTTACTATACCATAAATTGTATTATTATTTTAGAGTGTGCTTCTTTTGCATACATATTTTTTTTAAAGTTAACTGTAAGCCTCAGGAAGATCTTTCAGGAGGTATTTCTTTTATCATAGGAGATGACAACTCTATGCCTGTTATTGGCCCTGAAGACATGTTAGTGGTACAAGATGTACAGGGGGAAGACAGTGACATTGATGATCCTGACCCCGCATAGGCCCAAACTAATATGTGTGTTCGTGTATTAGTTTTTATCAAAAAAGTAATATATATACATATATATTATATATATACACACATATATGTGCTTATAAAATCATTACATAAAATACTTTGTGCATCTATACAATGGTTTTGTGCTTTAAGTGTTATTACAGAAAAAGTAAAAATTTGAAGAAATATAAAGATTTATAAATAAAACAGTTACAGTAAGCTAAAGTTAATTTATTATTGAAGAAAAATATTCTCATAAATTTAGTGTAGCCTAAGGTACAGTGTTTATAAAGTCCCCAATAGTGCATAGTAATGTCTTATCCCTTTATATTCACTAGCCACCTACTCACCCAGAATAACTTCTAGACCTGCAAGCTCCTTTCATGGTAAGTTTCCTATACAGATGTTTTCTTTGATACCCATTTTTTCTCTTTGATACTATATATTTTTTATTTTTTTAACTTTAAATAATTTTGATACACACTTACCATTGTGTTACAAATGCCTACAGTACTCAGAACAGTAAAATGGTTTACAGGTTTGTAACTCAGGCTACACCATGCAGTCGATGTGTGTAGTAGGCTATACCAGCTAGGTTTAAGTATTTTCCATAATATTTGCACAATGATGAAATTGTCTAAGTATGTGTTTCTCAGAATGTATCTCCACTGTGAAGTCATGCATGACTATATGTGATATTCTGGAAAGTGCAACGTTATGGAGACACTAAAAAGTACAGTGGTTGCAAGAGGTGAAGTGGAGGGGGTAGAGATAAACAGGCAAAACATGGTGGAATTTTAGGGCAGTGAAACTGCTCTGTATGATGCTATAATGGTGTATACGTGTCATTATAAACTTAACAAAACCCATAGAACATACAACACCAAAAGGGAACCCTAATGTAAACTTTCCGTATTAGTGATAATGATATGTCAGTATAGGTTAACCAGCTGTAAAAACTGTGGCACTTTGGGAGATGTTTACAATGGGGAAACTATGTATGCATGGTGGCAATATATGATATTTCTGTTCCTTTTGTTCAATTTTACTATGAACTAAATACTGTTCTAAAAATTATCTATTAAAAATGAAATAAAAATCACTCATATAAACGGAGCAAGAAATCTCACAGATATAATTAGTGAAAAAATACATTAAAAAGCTCTTATAAATACACTGCATATATTCCAAAGTAGAAGAAGGCATGAGACTGGTGAGGAGAGACATAGATTGTACGGAGCAAGAAATCTCACAGATATAATTAGTGAAAAAATACATTAAAATGCTCTTATAAATATACTACATATATTCCAAAGCAGAAAAAGGCATGAGCCTGGTGAGGAGAGATACAGACTGTATTTAAAAAGACACAAATTAAACTCCCAAAGATGAAAATACAGTGTCTTAGATGAAATATATACTGGACAGGATTAACAGCACATTGGACACTCAGAAGAAAACATTAGTGAACTTGAAAATATGGCAACTTGAAGAATCCAAATGAAACATACAGAGGAAAAAGAGTGGGAAAAAAAAAAAAAAAAACAGAAAATCGGTGAACCCTGGCACAATACCAGGAGATCTAACATACTTTTAATTGAAATCCATAGATGAAATTGCCCTAGTTCAGAGTAATGAGCTAGACAAATACATTTAATGAAATAATGGCAAAAACAGGCCCACAACAACTGTAAATTAAAGAAAAAATAGTCCAAAGAAACACGCAGCACAGCACACTAAAATATATCACAATTTCTGAAAATCCATGATTATGAGTCTTGCAATCAGCCTGAGGGAGGAAAAAAGACATTATGTACAGATGAACACAATTAGGAATTACTGTAGATGTATAATCAGGAACAATGCAAGCCACAAGACAATGAAGTGCCATATCTAATGTATTAAAGGGGGAAAAATGACAGCCTAGGCTTCTATACCCAACAAAAACTATTTTACTAAAAAATAGAAATAGGACTTTTAGAAATATAATGTAAACCATCACATTATCATGTATAGGTTAATTTCACCTGTGGTTTTAGTCATTTCATGGCTACAGAAAGATAGATACCACCTATGTATATGTTACCTTGCCTGGATCATGTTGCTCGGACTTCGAATGATATAAAGAGAAGCTAAAGTTATGATGGTCTTCGAAATACCTCATTCATATATGTAACAAAGTACATACGCATAATCCTAAAATGAGATTAGATGTAAAATTCAGCAGTGATCAGATATTACTCAGATCTAAAATAATTATGTCCCTGATTATTAATTCTATAATTTAGCAGCTATTTCATCAACCCTTCTTCTTGGTGAATGAATATCTTAGAGAGAGGTCTCTGCATGTTTTTTAATGTTCTCCTCTTGCATGGCAGGAAGCCCATGGGCTTTTAGATGACACAAGTGAATTCAACAGGCATCTTAGGGAGAAGTAGTTTAAATGATAAATGGCACATTTATAGCTAATGTTTGGTAAGTATTTTAATGTTCCATATATTTTAATATTAATAATAAATAATCCATAATAATAATGACTTTAATATTCATAGTAACAGAGAACGAATTTGAAGCACAGAGAAAAATAACATATCTGCCCAGAGGTAGCAAAGGGTTCAATCCAACCTTTAGTCCAGGTAGTCAGATTTCACAGCCCTGGGGCATAATCTATTATGTAGTGATGCTTCAAGCATGGATGGCAAAGGCTGGAAAGGTTCAGAGAATAGCCGATCAATTTGTTCGACTAAAGAAATGATGGAAAATACAATGGGAAATACAGGAAACTTTAACAGGAATATAAAAGAGGCTAGGGTTGTACTATAGAAAATATTTCATTTTTGAATATAAGATTATACTTTGAGTATGAAAAGCAATGAAAGGCCTCCCATCCACCAGATGGTGATAATAGGAACAATACATATGTACAGATTATGTACCACTTTGTATAAGTAAAACTTAATTAAAAATGCACATACATATATAATGCACCCTGCAATGCAATTTTTTTTTTTTTTTTGAGACAGAGTCTTGCTCTGTCGCCCAGGCTGGAGTGCAGTGGTGCAATCACGGCTCACTGCAATCTCCGCCTCCCGGGTTCACGCCATCCTCCTGCCTCAGCCTCCTGAGTAGCTGGGACTACAGGCGCCCACCACCACGCCCGGCTAATTTTTTGTATTTTTAGTAGAGACGGGATTTCACTGTGTTAGCCAGGATGGTCTCGATCTCCTGACCTTGTGATCGGCCCGCCTCGGCCTCCCAAAGTGCTGGGATTACAGGCGTGAGCCACCATAAACCATGCACATAACTTAACAAACAGAGATGTCTTTTACCATGCAGAATACTTTACCTTAAACACTCAGTTTTGAAATCTAAATAGCCATTTGAATTTCAGTGATCAAATCCAAACTGATTGATTTAAAGGTAAATTGGGCTAGATTCAGTATTGTTTAACCTTTTGTAAATAACTGCATAGATGACATTTGCCGGCAGATGGTGAAAGTCAACACCTCTGAATCTGTGTTCAGAATTTGTAATTATTGGGGTGGCCATAGAAGATGACCAGATAACGCCATTTAATTTAATAGAACCAGGTGTCAAATATTTCTATAAGGTACAAAATAAGCAACTTGTGAAAACCCATGATGATAAATGACTGTATATTTGGGATTCTGACAAGAACACTTCAAGTATGTCACAAAATCAGAAATCTCAATGATTCAACAAGGTACTCAGGTGTAAAATATGCCTAAATACTAATAGGGAAATCTTCAGGCAATAGACTAATTTATAATAACAATAAATGCTTACGATTACAATCCATTTTATACCCAACATTTACCAGGAGTTAACACCAAGAAAGTATGACAGATGTTTAAGGTGGCATCAACCGTTGAAATAACACTTGTATAAATTTAGAAATTTCAGAACTACAAAAACATTCAGAAGCAATATATAAAAAAAGAATTTAAGAATTGGAAAAAACTAAAAATTAGAATATTTATCCTTTAATGGCAGATATTTACCCTAAGAAATAGAAAAAATACATATGAACTCTTTGTCATGATTAACTTGAAACACACAATGTAAATAACTTCTTCCCAAATTCATCAAGTAAATTATATTAATCATTAGAAAACAGTTTAAATTAGATCTGATCAAGATTCTTATTTTCCCAGATAATAAGAGGAACTTTGATTTCTTCAACTTGGAAATTAATTTTACATCAAATATACCATAACAAAATAACATAGTACAAGTGTATAATTCTTCACTTAATTTTTGGTTTGTTTTATTCTTCCTTCAGTGAGCTTTTTCAAAAAATATTGCCATCATTCTTGTACAGAACCATAGCATTTTAGGGCTCGAGAAAATTAAGTGATTTTCTCATTTGGAGATTAATTAGCTTATCTGGAACTAGAAGTTATATCCTCTGATACACACTTAAACGTACCATCAACTATAGAATTTCATCAATCTTAAGATGCATGATTTTTCACATTTTAAAATATCTAAAATCTGAATGTGTTTCATCTCACAATCCATGGGATGCCATAGGTTTATCACTTGTGCTTTTCCTTTCTCAGTGATATATAAAAGTGGTTTATGGTATACAGTCCTAGAGATTATGAAACCCAACATGCCATTTTTAAATATATAAATTATGTACTTTTCCAGTGATTACATCAATTAAATTGTTTCAGAGCTTTTTAAAAATGATTGTTCATTTCTAACTAAATGAACGTCTACATGTACTCACTCCCTTCATAATGCAATTTTTACTTGGCATCTGATGGCTTCTTAAATGATGTTTTGGCCCAGTTTAATAATTTTTCTATAAACAACAGCTTGTTTTTTGAGTATTAAATAAGACAATCAAGTTCTTTAGGGAAAGTGGAACCAAATCATGTATTGAAAAGTCATGGCAACGTATTTATGTACAGACACATTTTGGTTCGTTACATCACATTTCATACAACTTACAGGAATTTCACTAATATTTTTGGCTTCTCTGTTACTGACTCTGGCTAAAAGAGCTTTGGGACATTGTAGTGAGTTGGCTCGTGCTCTTAAAGCTGCTGGAGTTTTGCTAACTAATTTTCTCAGAGTATTCATACTGTAAACATGTTGTAGCAGATTAAAAATACCTATAAAACACACAAGCAAATAAGTGTAAAAATTAAAATAGCTTTAAAAAGTTCATCTAAATGATGCATCTCAAATCTGAGGCTGAAATAGTTTCGACACCTTTGTTTTTCCTTTTTTTGTTTTTTTTTGGTTTTTGGTAAAACAGTTTAACAGGAATCACATCATATATAAAATTGCTGCAAAGAAGTCTTTCCTTTCAAAAAAAAATCTACAATGCTTCATAACCCTATTGGTAGCAGGCCCTTGTCATTTCAAGAAACAATGCAGCCTTCACTGAAACACATGTGTGGAGGAGGGAGGTCTGTTATCTGTGCAGGTCGTAATTCCTGGTCCTCTGTTTAAACATGCAGTGGCATTTCCTATGTAATTAAATTTCTAAATGTACAAGCAAACTTTGTCTACATATTGGCATGTATAATAAATTATTAATTAGAATTGTCAAAAACCATTAATTTGAAATCTGTAGAGCAAGTCTTCAGCCTCTTGACTGTACCATGAGATTCATTTAGAAATTATTTAAACACATTAATTAAAACTAAGTTTAAATATTCTAAAATTAATACTGATAAAGAAGGAAAATTAAATCTTCAAGTTATGTTCTGCTTGTATTTCATGATGGAGCAGTTATTTGCACCTGGAATAATTTAAATAGTAAAGGTATATGAATAAAACAAACTTTATAATTATTATGTGGTATTTTGGGGTGGACATTTCCAATTACAGAGTAAAAAAGATTAAAAAATTCTCTCATTACTATTAGAATTAGACAAAGATAGAAGTCTAGCTTGAGCTATTAAGGCACGTTTAAAATATATCTAAAAAATGAAAATGGTTAATTTTTCTAAATTAACAACATTCAAACTTTTCAATCCCATAGTTTATGAAATTGGAGGAGCCCTTTTATATGACAATCTCAATTTACAACATACTTTGGTTAATTCATGTATGTAACTACTAATATTGCTATTCATTGAAATACTCCAGTAAGGCAATACCCAGTTTTAATGGCTAACTTTGTAGGGCTGTGGTATTATTCTAATTAATCACTACATATGAGTTATTAAATATTTACAGTATTATTCATTTCCATATCTACATTAACACCAATATTGGTATCTATTACATATAAAGCTAGTTTTTATGCAAAGTAAAATGTATGATTTAATTTACAGGAAAGTCTATTTAAATATTACAGATGAACACACAGCTGTTAGGAAAAAAACCTCGACAAGTTAACAATTCTGTCAATAAATGTTCATTAAACAATGAATAAACCTTTCACTGAACTAAAGAGCATTCATCTAGTTTACCACCCCAAACCAGTGTACTAGAATTCATGACAGCAAGACTTGGGTTTAGCTGTTACACTAATAAACCTACAGATACTCAACCACAATATGGTGGTCTAAAAGGAAAATTAAGGAAGCCCATACTTCTACTAATGAACAGGTAACTAATTACTTCTAACAAACTATATGTTTCGTCTCGGGAAGACTTTGCTCTCAAGACTTAACTCACCTCCTATCCAGGTAGTGCATATAAAAACTCATCTGAGCAATTTATATAGAAAATTATTCTTGCCCTCCAATCACTTTATTGAGTATCATTTACAGTATATGTTTAGAAGTAATTTGGAATCTTGGCTTCACCCTGATCAGGTTATAGAAAGGATATCCAAATGAATAATTGCTGTAATATGTTGTAAGCACTAAATTTGAGTAATTTGAAATATACAATATAGTAACAAATAAAAGAAAAAAATCTGGTGCACTAAATAAAATGTTTCCAAGGGAGAAACAGGAGTGATGGGACTCGAAACATAGCAAGAACAATTAGGAGATTGTTTCAATAATTCAACTGAGATATAAGAGATCTGAAAATAAACTAGGAGTAATAGAGTTGGACAGAAGGTAGTTGGAATTGATAAATTGGTCACTAAGGCATATAGATTTAAAAGCATATTATGGGAGGAGGATAGAGATGGGAAACAGGAAGACGGCCAGGTTTTCAGCTTCTGGAGATCATGGCTATTATTAAGTAGAAGCAGGGGTACTGGGGTGCAATAGAGATTTCAGGTTTAGACATGTTGCAGGGGCTGAAATTGTGGACACAAGGATCTAGACTACATCAGGGAAGAAGGTTGGAATAGTGACCTATATTTTAATGCATGGTTTTGAATATGATAAATATGTAATGATTGCAAAAAGAATATCAAATTCTGATTGTCCAGGAAGGGAGAAAGATCAGCTAAAGAGAGTAAGATGATACTGCCACATGGCTTCATCAGCAGCACAAGGGATAAACGAACAAACCATCATTAACATTTTCAAACTGGGTCCCTGAATTGTACTTGAGCCTTTGCAACTCACCTCACAAAATATTCAGTAATAATATTAAATATAGGACTATTTACAGGATCACACCAAAACCAAGCCAAGCCAAATAAACAAAAAAATTCTCTACTTTGGGCCCAAAATGGTATTTTGAAGATTTGTACATTTTACATTATTTCAGTGGCCATAAATGTAATTATGAAACCTTAACAACAGTTCATTTCCCAAGGCTTTTACTCACTTTAAAGAAAAAAAAAATATATATATATATATATATTTTAATTTTATTATTATTATACTTTAAGTTTTAGGGTACATGTGCACAATGTGCACGTTAGTTACATATGTATACTTGTGCCATGTTGGTGTGCTGCACCCATTAACTCGTCATTTAGCATTAGGTATATCTCCTAAAGCTATCCCTCCCCCCTCCCCACACCCCACAACAGTTCCCAGAGTGTGATGTTCCCCTTCCTGTGTCCATGTGTTCTCATTGTTCAATTCCCACCTATGAGTGAGAATATGCGGTGTTTGGTTTTTTGTCCTTGCGAAAGTTTACTGAGAATGATGATTTCCAATTTCATCCATGTCCCTACAAAGGACATGAACTCATCATTTTTTATGGCTGCATAGTATTCCATGGTGTATATGTGCCACATTTTCTTAATCCAGTCTATCATTGTTGGACATTTGGCTTGGTTCCAAGTCTTTGCTATTGTGAATAGTGCTGCAATAAACATACATGTGCATGTGTCTTTATAGCAGCATGATTTATAGTCCTTTGGGTATATACCCAGTAATGAGATGGCTGGGTCAAATGGTATTTCTAGTTCTAGATCCCTGAGGAATCGCCACACTGACTTCCACAATGGATGAACTAGTTTACAGTCCCACCAATAGTGTAAAAGTGTTCCTATTTCTCCACATCCTCTCCAGCACCTGTTGTTTCCTGACTTTTTAATGATTGTCATTCTAACTGGTGTGAGATGGTATCTCATTGTGGTTTTGATGTGCATTTCTCTGATAGACTGTAATGGTGAGCATTTTTTCATGTGTTTTTTGGCTGCATAAATGTCTTCTTTTGAGAAGTGTCTGTTCATGTCCTTCGCCCACTTTTTGATGGGGTTGTTTGTTTTTTCTTGTAAATTTGTTTGAGTCCATTGTAGATTTTGGATATTAGCCCTTTGTCAGATGAGTAGGTTGCGAAAATTTTCTCCCATTTTGTAGGTTGCCTGTTCACTCTGATGGTAGTTTCTTTTGCTGTGCAGAAGCTCTTGAGTTTAATTAGATCCCACTTGTCAACTTTGGCTTTTGTTGCCATTGCTTTTGGTGTTTTAGACATGAAGTCCTTGCCCATGCCTATGTCCTGAATGGTAATGCCTAGGTTTTCTTCTAGGGTTTTTATGGTTTTAGGTCTAAAGTTTATGTCTTTAATCCATCTTGAATTAATTTTTGTAGAAGGTGTAAGGAAGGGATCCAGGTTCAGCTTTCTACCTATGGCTAGCCAGTTTTCCCAGCACCATTTATTAAATAGGGAATCCATTCCCCATTGCTTGTTTTTCTCAGGTTTGTCAAAGATCAGATAGTTGTAGATATGCAGCATTATTTCTGAGGGCTCTGTTCTGTTCCACTGATCTATATCTCTGTTTTGGTACCAGTACCATGCTGTTTTGGTTACTGTAGCCTTGTAGTATAGTTTGAAATCAGGTAGCGTGACGCCTCCAGCATTGTACTTTTGGCTTAGGATTGACTTGGCAATGCGGGCTCTTTTTTGGTGCCATATGAACTTTAAAGTAGTTTTTTCCAATTGTGTGAAGAAAGTCATTGGTAGTTGGAAGTTCTGGCCAGGGCAATCAGGCAGGAGAAGGAAATAAAGGGTATTCAATTAGGAAAAGAGGAAGTCAAGCTGTCCCTGTTTGCAGACGACATGATTGTATATCTAGAAAATCCCATTGTCTCAGCCCAAAATGTCCTTAAGCTGATAAGCAACTTCAGCAAAGTCTCAGGATACAAAATCAATATACAAAAATCACAAGCATTCTTATACACCAATAACAGACAAACAGAGAGCCAAATCATGAAAAAAATATATTTAAAAAAAATTTTAAAGCAAGCACAGTCAGTGAATTTTCTTATTTCAATTGTTAAAATTATTATAATAGTTCTTTTCTATGTTAGCACTAGGAAATGGTATTTGACTACTCTTGAGTAGCTCTTTAATACAAATTTTCTGAAGAGTAATTTTGAGATGAATATCAAAAGAAAAAAGGGCTTATGCTTTTATACACTAATTTTAATTGTTTATTTTAAAAATCTATATAGCTTTTTTGAAAATTGAAAAAGTTTGAATAACTTAAATAAGCAGTGGCAAAATGGTAAAATCACAGGCATTTGAAAACTTTTAATTAATGAAATAATTTTATGATTATGTGGTAAGTAAAAAACAAATACATTGTTTAATGCAAATTATAAAGATGTATATGTCAATAAACAAAATACCCATAGAAGTAGGACTGTGAGAGATTATTTACATACTTGCTCCATAAGGAACATTTCTAGTAACAATTCATTTGTTTTACAGTAGTTATTTTGATAGAAGGGGCCAATATATTTGGGAATTTTTAGCACACTAAGGGCTTTTGTTATTACTAACATAATTAAATTCTAGATTTAGTGAATTATATTATACACAAAAGTACACCTCCTTACCAGTGGGAGTAATTTGCCCTACAGAAATCTGTTATAACATTTAAATGAAATTGTTAATCAGGGACTATCTACAGCTGCACCTGCTCTTATTTGTAGGATGAAACTGTGTAATCACTGTCAGTTCTTCCAGATAGAGGCAGTGGATATCTATTAATACAACAGACGCATAATTAAAGAGAATCCCCATCAGCTGTGGTATCCTGGCTTTGTTAGATTGAGCAAAGTGAGGACAGAGAACACCAAGGAGAAAAATGGGCGGAGACTGGTTGTTTATGACAATGTCACTTACTGCCTACGCAGGACACTGAAGAAATTAGTCAAAAAAGTTATGTGATAAAGTCACAAAGAATAAGGTTAGAAAAACAAAGTTTAATGAATTAAGCAATGGTGAATTCTTACTTTCAAAGGAAGATTTTAGAATACAAAAGCAGTTGAGAATGAGACAAATTCGTGCCACAAATATTTCTAAGTAAATTGTGAGTGTTGTCTCTTTTTTTTTTTTTTTTAAAGTCCATGGACTTCTAAAGAGGTTATTTTGGGCCCGTGTTGTGTGTATAGGATACTACAGGAAGCATTTTTAGAAAAAGGGTTATGCCTATTACGGTCTGAAATAATTCGTATATCTTAAGTATGTAGTTTATCCTCCTTGTTTGACTAGTTCCACAATTTCAAAAGTCACTCTTGACTCTTACTGATGGCTTCCCACTCCTTGCCTCCTGTGTGGGCTTGCTAGGGTCCCAGCAACCCAGCCAGGAGGTCTCAGGCTGAGTTTGAAAAAGCTGCTGAGGGTATTAGGCACCTCAAGATCAAGCTAAAGGATGATGAGATGCTGTTGATCTAAGAACATTGCAACCAAGTGGCGTGGGCGACATAAATACAGAAATACAGCAAGGCCAAAAGGGGTGTCTGGAATAAACTGAAAGCAACGACCAAGAATGACACCATGAAAGCTTAGTCCACAAAGAAGCATTCAAGAAAAACTAGAGACGGGATTTGGTTTCTAGTCACACATTTAACCTAAACTGATGCAATGCCTAGTTTTTTCTAATACCGTGGCTGGTGTAAAATAATGAAAATAACCAGTTAAGTTAGTTCCTTCATTCTGTTCAGAATATGGCTCTAGGTAAAACAATTACTGACCTTCCCCAAGTGTTTTTTATCTGAAATCAATTAAAAGTGTATTTGCTACTTTAGAAAAAAGTCACTCTTACTGAATTTATATGGAATACAAATTTAGCCTTTCTTGATAGAGTACATATGTGTTAGTGTTGTGAAATATAAAGTCATGTATGTGCTGTAAGCATTGCACTTACAGTATTTCAGATTATAAAGTCATTATAATCAATGTGTCCAGGTGAACATAAGCTTAGAATTCAACCTACATTCTGTGAAAGAAATACATGAAGGAATCAATAAGTTAATAAGTCCTACTATATGTATCACTTTTTAGCATACTATAAATGCACTTATTTATTATGTTTATTGTCTGTCTCTCCACTTAAACAAATTCCTACATAACAGGATGTCTTTTTCTTCAATGATGAATGAAGTCTATCTAGATGAATCAACAATACTTCGATAAGGCACTCACTATTTGGTGAATGAAAGAATTATCTTGATCTGAAAAATACAGACTACGTACTCCTGTTGCTCTTTGAAATTTTAAATAAAATGTTGGAATATTTATTTTAGATAGTTTAAAGAAGCTAAAAATCTCTACAAATGCATTTAGGTGGCAGAGAATCTACAAACCAAGTCAACCGATACATGAACAAACAAACTGTAAATGAGGGAAAGAAAGAAAGTACCAAAGGATGACCTAGCGTGGGTATTTGGAAGGGTTACTTAATTATGTCGTCTAAGTAACCTAATTTATATGATTGTAAAAGATCAGGAATTCCAAATATTTCAAAATATTTTGCAATCATAGGCACATAGGCCTCTTGGAAAGGTTCAGCTAATCCTAAATATTACTGATATGAATAATGTCACCTAAAAAAAAAGGAATATTTGACTCATATAGTAGAAATAGTTCCATAAATAAAGAAAGCATAGATGTAAGAATATGAGTTATGTTAGTCAGATTTAAACATCGTTCTTCATAATCATGTGTCCAAATACAGAATAATAAAATAGCAATAATGAACCAATCAAAAACTGCAATAAAATTTTTTTTGCCGTAATAAAAAATCAAACTTAATATAAGAAAACAACACAAAAATGTCACCCTAATACATAATTTTATAACTGTTTTGTGAGAAAATAAATTACAAATTTTGTATCTATATATTGTGTTCTTGTTTTTTCAAAATGAATATTTTAGTTTAGTAAATTTCCATAATTGATACGTGAAATATTAGTAGGATAGTTCACTTATAATTTGATCAATTGATTGAAATAATAATTTCTAATTTTATTTTAAATTTCTCAAGAATGTCAACAACATATTCTACTATTTTTAGTCAAGAATTTCTTGTGAAAAACTATAATTAAGAAAAATAAAATCCCGGTTGCATCTGACCATTAATTTTTTACTACCTAAATTACATAGTTAAATTGATATATAAAAATGATTAATTTTTAAGAATTTCAAACACTTAAATCATTAAGATTAATGATATATCTTAGAATAAAACCAACCATAGGATATTGTCAAATGAGCCAAGAGAGAAGCATAATTATAGATATTGTTTAGGAAGCAGACATGAAAAGGGTGATTTACTATTATCATAAGTGATAAGGTGGCCCCATTAAGATGACCAGGACTATTATCAGAGAAGTTTATTTTATATACACATATCCACCAATAATACCTACATACTATAATACACTATCCACCAATAATACAGTAATACCATATAGGAAAGTAATCTTGGTTTATATTTCCTAGCATTAAAATATTCTTGTTGTACACATTCAGTGTATTGTCCAGGCATATTTTCCTCTGATCCTAGGTGTCTGTAAAGCAAACATAAAAAAGCAACTGCTTTGTGGAGAAATATGCTTTGCTATCTAATACAGAAAATTTGAACTATTTGTATCGCCATTTGGGACCAACTGAACATAACCTGCTTAAAAGTTCCACCTAAATTATTGGAATCCTTTTATATCTATCTTAGACAAAATCACCTAAATTGTATCTTTCGGAGTTCAGAGTTAGTAATAATGGCAAATATTTCATCTCCTAAAATAAAAACTATTCAGGAAAATAAATCTTGAGCATGAAACTTCAATTTTCTGATTTCACTGAACGCGATATCGAAGATGCAAAAGCAAATAACAATTCTAAACCTTGATGGAATATTTACTTCGATTGGCTTTCACCCAAAAGTGGCCATGGATTACTGAAAATATTTTCAGAGCTCTCTGTATAACTTTAATGGATAGTGGCCAAGATGCAACCGTGGCTATAATTAGTTTCTCTGTTTATACATTTCAGGCACGGTGAAATGTGTTAATAAAAAATTAAAAAGACACAGGTTTGTGGTGATTAAGTAAGATTAAGTAAATTGTTAGATCTATATTACATTTGTGCATAAATATTCTAATGCTAACTTGAAGAATATATGAAATATTCATTAATTGAATATTCTAATCTGTTAAAATGACCTTAATAATTTCCATTCCTCAATAATTTTACTTTCATTTCAAAAAAGATTAATTGAATACCTTTTTTTTTTTTCCCCCAGATGAAATCTTGCTCTGTCACCCAGACTGGAGTGCAATGGCACGATCTCGGCTCACTGCAACCTCTGTCTCCTAGGTTCAAGCGATTCTCCTGCCTTAGCCTCCTGAGTAGCTGGAATTACAGGCATGCACTACCACATCCAGATAATTTTTGTAGTTTTAGTAGAGACAGGGTTTCACCATGTTGGTCAGGCTGATCTCAAACTCAGGTGATCCACTCCCCTCGGCCTCCCAAAGTACTGGGATTACAGGCGTCAGCTACCACGACTGGCTTTTTTTTTTTTTTTTTTTTTTTTTTGAGACGGAGTCTCGCTCTGTCGCCCAGGCTGGAGTGCAGTGGCGCGATCTCAGCTCACTGCAAGCTCCGCCTCCCGGGTATAAGTGATTCTTCTCCCTCAGCCCCCCAAGTAGCTGGGACTACAGGCGCCTGCCACCACTCCCAGCTAATTTTTTGTATTTTTAGTAGGGATGGGGTTTCACCATGTTGGCCAGGCTGACCTCAAACTCCTGACCTCAGGTGATCCGCCCACCTCAGCCTCCCAAAGTGCTGGGATTATAGGCCTGAGCCACCATGTCTGGCCTTGAGGGCATTTTAAACAGCAATTAATTTTCAGCCACACTGTACCATTAATATACCTTATGCAGTTGAGCAGTTATGACCAAGTTTCCACATTTGGAGGTAATTACAATTCTATTTTGACTGTTGCCTGGCTGATAGCAGTTGTAAGTTGTCATTTCTTACAAAACAGAGCAAAAATCTACTTATATTAATATTTGGGGAAATCATGTCTTAAAATTGATTGAATATAATATGTATGAAAAACAGAGGGTAAATATAACCCTTAGCACACAATAAGCACTCTCAGGGCAAAGGCAACCTTCCTTGGTATCAAGTACTTTGGTCCCACTGGCAAGGCTATCTCAACAGATCTATTTACCTGAACCTTATTATAAAACAGTATAATTTTTCTTTTGTTGTATTCTTACAAAAGTGCTCTTTGAAATGTTGACTGCCCTTTAATACAGGCAAAGAATCTATTTTTCTGGGATATTTTGCATATTCAGATTCTTGTTGCCATCAATTCTAATTGGAAAATTCATTAATATTCTAACGTTGACTTTAGTCTGTGTTTATTATAGTTGTCAAGAACCAGTCCTTCAGGGCTTGCTCACCCCTTAGTCCGAATAAATATAGGTCTTTGGTCTGCAGAGTAAAAATTTGATCCTAGGACTCAATAAACTAGTGGATGATTTGCCTAAATAGAGCCTGCTCTGATAGAATCTGATTTCTGTGGGAAAAAAGGACTGTGCCTTTCTCATTTACAATGAACACTCCCACATCTAACACGGTGCCAGGCTCAATACATTTCAGGCAAGTAAAGAAATAACCTTACTGTCATTTCAATATACAGAATTATGGTTACTTAAAAGAAATAACTCATATTTATTTATCAAAAATGTTCTTTTCACATTTCTAAAAGTCTCACTTAAAAAGTTTGCTGGGTTAGCAATTTATTTGCTCAGAAATATTGTCTATAGAACATTCAGTAGTTTGTGTCTTCAAAAATCATCCCAAATGATTCAAAAGCAATATTTAAATTCAAAATGCAATGTTTAATATAAAATGAAAAGAAAAAAATGATCTCAAAAATTTACCTTTCAGGTGTCTTATTATCCACATTTGCACGGAATATGACAAGGGATAAAAGAGCAGAGACTTGCAATGCCTTGGAAAACAAACTCCTCCTCTTGCCTGAAAAGCAAAGTGACTAATGTCCAAAGAAAATTGATGCTGATAGACAGTTTCAAGAAAAGGAAGAGTCAATCTTAGTTGCAATGGGAGTTAAAATAAAAAAAAATAGCAAATAACTAGAAATATTTTTATGATGATAATGATGACATAATGATGTATTGCCATCACAACTTATGTATAATTCTCTTATGAAAAGCTCTTTTTTCATAGAGGAAAAACCTATAACCATAAAGAAAAGTAGAAAATAAACTCTTAAAGAATACACAATTATTTTATATGTATTGCAACTAATTAAAGCAGTAAAAGAAGTAATATTAAATGCATGTAAAATAAGTATCATTAGCAATATTGTGGAAACTTTATCTCATGTGTCCAAAAGTACCATGTAAGAGGATATTTATCATAACATCTATTATGGCAGGATGGAGTAGGATGCAACTGGGGTGTCACTACCAGGAAATTAAATAAGTAAAATGTGTTGCCTCCGGATGGCATTGCATATACAGGTCAGATTTAATTATCTTCCTTACAGCAACATGGCTAGAGAGTTTGATTATAGTTAAAAGCTAAAGGTGTGGAACTATAAAACCTACATTACACAATATCATTTACACAAATTAAACATGCACACGCACACACACACACACACAAACCAACAATATACAGTTTTCAAAGATGCATGCATATCTAAGGGCACAAATTAATTAAATTCACTGGCACATTTACTAGCAAAAGTGATGAGGAGGGGGCCAAGAAATGATGATTAACATATAATAAAACAAGACAAAGGCATTGCTAGATCAATAAAGAACATAGTTAATGAGCTGAGGGTCATAAGTACTTCAAATCTGTGCAACCAAGATAAAAAAATAAAAATAAAAGCTAAAACCTTCCAAATTGCTTCTACAATTACCATATCAGTGAAATTTTATAAGATATTGGTCACCTGAATTGTTTCACCCTACATATCCAGAGAGCTCCCGGGACAAATATTGGTTTTGTAGAAACAGTTCATTCATACAGTTGTATTTCGGTTGCTTTTTTTCAGGTTGTAGAAAATTGCATTTTTCTAAAAGCTTAACGCTTTCATTATACATGGGTTGACATTATATCACGTTCTCAAAAGTGAATCAGACATTTAATATGCCTTTAATCTAAAACTCCTCTAAACTGTGTGATTTAATTAACCAATAATTAAATACCAAATATGAGAACTTTAGGGACTAACACATTGAAGCGGTATCAGGATAAAAGATGTTTACACTGAACGCAAAGATTCTCCCCTGACTGAGTGAGACTGGGAATTGCAAGCATGGCAGAGCGAAAGCCCACTGATAACAAGCTGTTTATTAAAGCATTAGCCTCCCTGAGCTTAAAGAATGTCAAAGCCTGTTCTTACACATCCATGGAAAAATAATTGCAGAGCAAAAAGGATGCTGCTTTGCATTTGTAATAAGGCAAAATGTTACTGAACATTAGATTTAAATTTATTTCTAAAAATACTTATTTCTAACAGTTCTTTTTGATGGCCTTTTATTTTCAACATTTATCGTTATGACCTTCCATTTATTCAGCCTCTCTTCTGCTTATCTGGCTTTTCTCTTTTGCGTTATGAATTTGCTTTTTTGAGTAGCCCCATTGTCTCATTTTGTCTTGCCTATTGTATGCTGCCTTTAACATCAGTAACATGTGGCGTTCATAAGTGTCTGTTTGCCAAAAGGGGGATGTATCCTGGAATACACCTTTAAAGTCCAGAAGGCAAGCAGGCAAAAGATGGTTTGCCAAAAGGGGGATGTATCCTGGAATATACTTTTAAAGTCCAGAAGGCAAGAAGAGGCGAAATATGTTTTCCCAAGTGATGACAGTGAAAAATAATTAGGAAATCTATGTTGATAAAGTTAAAAAAAAACATAGATATTAGTTAAAGTAAGCTTAGCACAGTCTTACATTAAATATGGGGAAACAGAGAGCTACAGGATTTAGGAGAACTATCCAATATTCTATAGCCAGCAACAGAGATTAAAATCCAGAAAAACACCCCCATCCCATCTCCCTGGTATAACAAAACATTATATTCTAAAAATAAAATAATAATGGTGGTCTCATTACACTCAGTTTTTAGTGTGGCCAGGTCACTATAGAATTTGGAGAAAGTGGCCTAGAGTCACAATGCTTGAATTCAAATTCTGGCTTTACTACATGCCAGAAATGACTCTTGGCAAATCTCTCTGAGCCTGTTTCTGTATTTGCACAAATGTGAAACTAATCATACCTATCTCATTAGATTGTTGAGGGGATTAAATGAAACAATTCACATCAGAACAGTCCCAGGTACATGGAAATACATCTAATATACTGCTTATCTTTAAAATATATTATTTCACTTACAATACATTTGCATACCAATCCCCTTGCTAATCATTAACACACACAAAAGGTGCAATCCATGTAGTTAAAAAGTGTATAAACTTGTTCTGCTGATTATCGGTTCTTTTGTGAATTCAATAATTAGCTCATGTCTTTCCTTTCACTTTGTCTCAGGCATAGTGTTTATTAAATTCCATAAACATGCCAATAAACCTATCTAGAACATGCTTGAGAATTTCCTCACCTTCTCATTGCCAATTATCTTCCTCTTCTCAAAAAACAATCACTGAAAATCCAAAACTCTGGATAACAGAATATCTTAAATAACTTTATCCTCAAACCCTCAATTCCAAAAATCATATTTTATATTGAACACAACAGTCCAGCAATACTATTCCCTTAATTCTCAACATTTGTTCTTTTCATCAGTAATATTGAAATTCTTGGTTGCTTTCTGTTTCCCTCTATTGTCAGCCCTCCCTCTCTATATGTTAGAATCCCACAGCTAGACATTTCAAACATATGTTTCAACCACTTCGGTATTTGTTGAACGTTTAGTCTGCTTCCAGGAATTATTTTCATTTCAAAAGGCCAACATTTCACATTTTGCCATTTAACTTTTAAAATAAATAGCTATGAGGTATAAAAGGATCCCTTCGTATTTAATAACTACTCACTATTTAAATAATCGCCTTTCTAGCAGTCAAACAAAATATAGATGTGTTCCTTTTCCTATAAGAATGAAATATTATACTGTTTGGTTATTTTTAGCATCTAATAACCTAATAAAATTTGCTTTTATGTGAAGGTATTATTGGAGACTCTCAACAAACTACACCATAATTCTTAATATACTGATCCCATTAGCTGGCCTTAGGAAATTTAAATATATATTTCAGATTGCTGGACAATGATTTTTCTGGTTTCTAAAGTTGCTTTAGTTTAGCTCCAAGTTAAACTTTTGTATTTAACCAGTCACAATATTAAATAAAGAGTAAATGGGTAATGAAAAAATACAATTTATAAATTGTATTAAAGATCACATTATAAAAGCTATAAAACACACCTAATTTCTAAATACAATCCAAATTTTAAAATTATAGAAATTTAGCATGAGACAAAATGCTTTTCCAGAAAAATTGTTAATTTCTGAGCTAACTTAATACAAATTGCATGTTTTCTGCATTTAGCATATGTGTGGGGGGGTATAATCATGACATATTATATCCTAATCTCTAAATATAGCCAGATAAACTTCAGATTCAGAAGCCCACAGCTTTAAATCAGCACAAGTATGTTGTGCACAAAGACTAAGCCAGTAGACACTAATTCACCCAGACAGCTGATCTTGTATTTGAAGAAAATGAGACACAATCAGGGACAGATTGAATTACACTTCTAGAAATGAAAGTAGTGTGAACACATGTCTCCTCATCCACTATGGGGTAGAAAGGTAGATCAAATATCTGGGTAATCGTGAAAACTTTGAAAGAGTGGATTCTCACCCCAACAGAGCCTGCTGCCATAAGTATATAAGATACGAAATAAAATACGGTAATAAACTATGATAAAAGTTAGAAAATTAAATAGGGATAAATAATCCAATACTATGAAAATCATCTAACTTCTTTGAGCTTTAATTTATACAAACAAAAATAGAGCTAAGAAGATCCCTCCCAGGTTTAAATTAAAGGACACTAAAACAGTGTTGAATAGTAACAACAGAGGGTATATAAATATGTATATACACACACATATATACACATATATAATTTGAATTTATATATAATATATAAATCTCATATATATATGCATATATATATACCAATCTTTTCAGATACATAGACCAATGGAATAGGTCAGAGAACCCAGAAATAAAGCCACATACCTACAACCATATGATCTTCAGCAAGTCAACAATCACAAGCAATGAGGAAAGGGCTCTATATTCAATAAGTGGTGCTAGGGATAACTGACTACCATATGCAGTAGATTGAAACTGAATCTCTACCTTTTACCATATGCAAAAATGTACTCAAAATAGATCAAAAATCTAAATTTAAGACCTAAAACTATAAAAACTATAGAAGAAATTCTAGAAAATACCATTCTGGACATCGACCTTGGCAAAAAATGTATGGCTACATTTCCAAAAGCAATTGCAGCAAAACAAAAACAGATTTGTGGGACCAAATTAGACTAAAGAGCTTCTGCACAGCAAAAGCAACCATCAGGAGAGTAAAGATACAACCTACAGAATGGGAATACATCTTCACAAACTGTGCATCCAACAAAGGTCTAATATCCAGAACCCGTAAGGAACCTAAAAATTTCAACAAGCAAAAAACAAAATTACCACAAAAGACATGAACGGGCACTTCTTTAAAGAAGACATACATGCAGCCAACGAATATATAAAAATATGCTCAACACCACTAATCATTAGAGAAATGCAAATCAAAACTACAGTGAGATACCACCTCACACTAGTCAAAATCGTTATTATTAAAAAGCCAAAACATAGCAGATGTTGGCGAGGTTGCAGAGAAAAGGGAACTTTTATAACATTGTTGGCAGAAATGTAAATTTGTTCAGCCACTGTGGAAAACAGATTGGAGATTTCTCGAAGAACTTAAAAGAGAACTACCATTCTATCCAACAATCCCATTAAGGGCATATACCCAAAAAGAAAATCAACCATTCTACCAAAAAGATACATGCACTAGAACGCTCGCTGCAGCAAAATTGACAATAATAAAGACATGAAATCAACCTGGATGCCCATCAACAGTGGAATGGATTAAGAAAATGTGGTGTATATACATCATAGGATACTACACAGCCATAGAAAAACATGAAATCATGTCCTTTGCAGCAATATGGATGCAGCTAGAGGCCATTATCTTAATCAAATTAATTGATGCAGGAGCAGAAAATAAAATACCACATGTTATCTATTATAAATGGGAGCTAAACATTGAGTACACATGCACAAAAGATAGGAATAATGGACACTGAGGACTACTAGAGGATGGATGGCAGGAGATGGGGGAGGGTTGAAAAACTACCTGCTGAGTACATGCTCACTACCTGGGTGATGGAATCATTCATACACCAGACCTCAGTGACACACAATTTACCCATGTAACATACCAGCACATGTACCCCCAAAACTAAAATAAAAGTTGATTCAAAAATCAACCTTTTAATTTAATACTATATTCATATATTTAATAAAATGATTAATGTTTAGGAAATATGTTCATGTTCAAGCAACTACAAAATACATAACATTTTGGATGTTAACATTTTATTGAATATGATAAAGCACACAAAAATTAGCTAATACTTAAGCAACTATCACTTCTCTGTAATCAAAGGCCAACTGCCACCACAAAGGGAGGTGATAGAAAACAAAGCTTATTAAAGCATTATTAAAGGAGGACTGAAAAAATTCCAAAAATAGTTAGCAAGAAGCAGGAAAGGGGGAAGGTTAGTAGGTAGGTGAAAGAAAGAAGAAATATAAAGAGGCTCACATAATTATGAAGTTAATCCCTTACTTTACTAAATTAAAATACTTAAAATAAAATATTTTAAATTAAGTGAGTTACAAAGTTTTAGTGAAAGAAAGTAGGAACTGGAGTGTTGCGGAAGGATAAGATGGAAGCATAAGCTATCCAGAACAAAATTCCTTACATGGATCTTGTTGCAAAATAAAAGGGCACTCTGAGAAACTAAATGGAAATTAAACATTACAATAAATATGTATTACTAAAGGTAGTTGCAGCATGGGATTGTTCAACAGTCAAGTCTTTACAGGATTTCAAGTTTTGAACTCTTTTACCATTATAAACCACTTTGGAAAAATTTATAAAACTTATAAAAATAAACCATACTTTTATTGACAGAAGTACCTCTCTCTCCCCTGAGTGGTGAGAATATTAGGACCATTAAAATCAACTCTCTTCCCTCACAACTTTTTGTTTTCTTTCTCTATTCATCCACAATAAAGCCTCAGCCCTGCTTCAATTACTTCTCTTCTCACCGTCTACTTCTAAGCAGATGGATGTAGACGAATGAAAACAACCAGCAATCACTTTAAATTTAATAACATAAATTCCACAGGCCGTCCGTGCTGCCTGGTAACTCTACAGCATTATGTTTGTCAACAAACTATCCTGCTACTAATCCAAACCTTCTCCTTATTCCTGCAGCTTTCTCTTCTTTTCTTACGGCCCAATGTCTTGTTCTGTGTCCCACTGAGAAAGCAGACACAATCATGAGACCTTCTTTCTCTCACCAGCATCAGGTCTGCCACCTCCTGACCTCTTACCAAACCCCCTGCCTCCTTCCTACTAACATGTGACCTCTATTGACCCACCCAAGCAAGATTTCTTCCATCTTTCATTTTCAGCCTTTTTTCTCTCTTTTCTTGATCACTCATCAACCTAAAAATATGTGGAAATAGTATCCCATGTTTAAAACGAACAAACTAATAAACCTCCCTTCATCCACATTTGCCCCCAGCTATTTCCTAATTATGTCCTCCTCTTAAAGGTCACGCTCAAACATTTTTACACGCACTGGCACTGTCTCCACCTTCTTCAGTCTCATTCAAAATTCTCCCATTAGGTTCTTGCCTTCCTCACTCCACAAAAATGTTCCTGACAATCCCCCGCCATTTTCAAATTCAGGGATAAATGCTCAGTGCTCACTTTGCCCACCCCGCTGGAAGTAATAACACAGTTGACAGTTTTCTTTCAACTTTCTATTTGTTGAAATGCCCTCCTTGATTTCCACTTGGAAATCTCTTTCCTGGTTTTCCTCCCACATTAATGCCTGCTTCTTCTCTCTGTGTTTTTCCTTTACTGACACTTTTCTTGCGCCGACATTTATTGTTAGAATGCTCAAGGGCTCAGCTTTCTATCCACACACTCTTCTTAAGTGATCCAATCCAGCCCTTCTAAGTAATCCTCTTTACTATAGTGTATAGATTATATCTACGACTAAATAGGAAACACATCCCTCCAGCCAAAGCTCTGCACCCCTCTAGACTTCCACACTGGTATATTCTTATTTATACATGATACTTCCACATGAATAACTAAAAGGCAAGTCAAATTTATGTCTGGAAACAAAATTATTGACCCAATCCCCCACAACCAACCCTCCCTTCAGTGTTCTGCATCTTAATAAAGGACACCGCTATTTACTCAGTTGCTCAAGTCAAACACCTTGGGGTCACTGATGACTTTCTCTCAAATGCCAGTTCATATATCAGCAAATTCTGCTGGCTTCAATGATAGATAGATAGATAGATAGATAGATAGATAGATAGATAGATAGATAGACAGACAGACAGGCAGACAGGTAGGTAGTTAGGTAGATAGATAGATAGATAGATAGATAGATAGATAGATAGATAGATAGATAGATAGATAGATAGATAGATAAAAAGATAGATAGACAGGCAGACAGGTAGGTAGTTAGGTAGGTAGATAGATAGATAGATAGATAGATAGATAGATAGATAGATAGATAGACAGACAGACAGACAGATAGATTTATTTGAACAATTCTTACCTCCTCCATTACTACCATCCTGAAGCAAGTTTCCATTATTTTCCCTCTGGACTGTTAACTTGTTTCCAATAGTACATTGTAAGAGCAATTAATATATTCTTTTAAAGATACATCACATGATGTTATCACCCTATTCAGAACATTCCATGGCTTCCTATCACAATGAAAGCACAATTCACAATATTTACTTTCATACATGCAGTGATCTGGTGGCTCTGGCTCTTTCTTGACTTCATCTCTTACCGTCAACCCCTTTGCTCACTCTTCTTGTCTACACTGACATCCTGTTGCTTCCTGTAAATCCCAAGGACAATTTTGCCTCAGGGTGTGTGTTCCCTTCTTTGCCTGGGTGGTCTGTATTCCACATATTTGCACGACTTAGTCTTTTTATTAGAATTCCTACTCATGTGTCAGACCATATGAGAGATTTCCCTATCTAGAGAATCTAGGGAGTCACTGTCAACACTCTCCAACTCTCACATTGCTTTATCTTTTCCTCATATTGCTGAATATTGCCTTATATATTTCATGCCAGCTACACAAGGGCAGAAACTCTATTCTAGTCTATTTGGTATATACTCTATATATGTTGAATAAGCAAATTTATGGTATAGCATTCATTGCAGCTATACATTCTTGTATATTTCTAAAACCTTTATGGACAGCAGAAAACCAGTGTTTCCGGAAATACTGTGCTTCACTTGTGTAAAATGACTTTAGTGGCTGTGGTCTCTTAATAACACTAAGTTTGATTGAAGAGCCATGTCAAGCAATTTGGGCTTTTAGTTATTAATCTGAAAACTGAGAATGAAAGAGAAGTTGACGACTCATGCCAGTTATAGAAAATTGCTAATTTAATAAGCAACTCATTAGAATTTGTTATGGTGGCTCTGAAGTTTAATGAGCAGGAATTTTCCCTCTAATTTTTCTGAAGCAGCGAGATGTCAGTGAACTGAATTGATGCTTTAATAATTGTGATTCTTTCTCTACTTTCTTCTTCATGAGAAATTAGCCCACATAGCCTCTCAGTTATACTTACTCAATGTTGGATGTATCAGCATAAGAAATCAGGAATCATGTCCGTTACGACACTAAAATATTATCCAGCACATATTCTGACATCTTGATTTTAGTCCTGGGGTAACTAGTTCATGGTCGTACAGCTATGCATACTCATAGATGTTTAAAAAGTGTTAGTAAGCTAATAATAATAGCAGTAACTCTTGCCAAGACCTATGTTGAGTGTTCAAAATGCTCTCTTTAATTCAGTTTCTTTAACATAGCTATTTTTTATCCCCATCTGGAAAAACCAAATCAATGTAATCATTTTTTTGAAATTATAACTAACTCACACATGTATGTTCACTTAATAATGCTCTTTTAAAGTCATTCTTTTATATTCCAAATTAAATTTTGATAAGTTTTTCAAAAGGCAATATTTTTCTTTCTTGTCAAATTTCAAAGATACCTTATTAATTCACCTTAATGATTATTACAGCTGAGAAAGGTGTGTTTTTCAGAATCATGTACTTTGAAGTCAGATAGAAATGAAATTAACACCAGGTCATGTGGTAGCTGTGACTGTGGGCAGTTAATCTCTCAAAGGCTCACTTTCTCCATCTTTAAAAGGAAAGCAAGTCTGCTACAGAGAATTGTGGTGTAACCCAGCTGCATATACTTGTATAAAATGCTTGACTCAGTTTATTAAGTGTTTTTTCCAATGCCATTACACTTTTTAAGATGCTACTCCCTTCCTTCTACTCCTCTTTAAAAAACACAAAAAAACAAACAACAACAACAACAAAACACTTCTTAGGGATAAACTAAATACTGGGCATCACAAATATATTGGTAAGCAAGCCAAACTCGCTTCATTCAAAAGCACTATAAGAATCGATGCAACTATCAGTCAATGTTTTGTTCACTGGTAATAGCTAAAACATATAAAAAGTCTGATTACTTTTATAACTTTGAAATTGACATTTATTAGAAAATATTGATATTAATAGCCACCAAACCACAGATTTTTATTGTTAATTTCGAAGCTGATCTTTTTTCCAGTTCTAAAGTTGAAAACTGTCCAAATGAAGATTAGCAGTGCCTAGTTAAGGGTTCCTTCAACACCCCTTTTTAGACCTTATGCACCTCATAACAAGAACAAAAGCAAATTCTAATGATTTAGTTGAATATTTTTGGTGGTCAATATGTAACCTTGGTGGGGAACATGGACTACATGGTGTTTAAGAACAATCAGTATAGGCATAAAGGGTTTTTGTCTATTTGTTAACAGGATTATGAAGAACAGGCACTTTGAAGTTTGACAGTCATTTGTGATTTTTTTCTGTATGATACATGGACTATCTATGTGACTATGTGACTATAATCAAATTACTAAATCTTTCTGAATTTCCATTTCCTCATCTATAAAATGTGTCTTGAGTAGTGATAAAAGGTAAAATGCCTGCCATATAAGAAAAATAGAGTATTACTGCATTGCAAACCTTGTCTCCGATGACTCTCAATTAATCTCATCATAGTTTTGAAGCAATTTAATAGATCAAAATGTTTCTATTTTCCTAGAGAATTATTATGCATTTGTTTTCCAAATGAATGCTGTGTTTTACAGCCCTAATTGCCTAAGTGTGTATCTAAGAGTCATTGATGTCTTCAGATTACTTGCACTGATTACATGAAATTCTAGGAAGCAGAGGTTCTGAAATAGAACATAGTAAAAACATCTTTGGAAAACAGTTTTTCTGAATAATTAATTCGGCATAAGGCCAATATTTTTACCCTTTTTTATTCAGTACATAGAACTTTGAATAAATTGTAATCCATTGTAACTTTCTGAACACGAATCACTATATTTTTAGAGAAAGTCTCTCTTCCCCACCAGGATAGGAGTTGTATAAGGATAGGGATTCATTCATAACTCCTGTTATCCCATAATTATTTGTTGAATGAATAGCTTAGAATCATAATAGAAATAAATAATAGTCTAGAAATACAAAATATAAAAGAAATTTATTTTTCTTTTATTGGGCACCATGACTCCTTGCTGAAGAACCCTATTTTTCCTCCAAAATCTAGAATTTTCCCCCCCATGGTCTAATAGCTTTTAGTCTTCAATGAAATCTTATCTGTAAATTAGGAATATATCATGTATCATCATTTATCCTAAATGAGTTTTGAATTAAAAAAAATTAGATGAATCCACATCACACTGCCCTTTTTAAAACCAGAATAAAACAAAATCTAGTTCACGCTCTTTAAACTAATCAAATTTCAAACTCACTATTGGGATTCTTTTTGACAATTGTGTTTTATGTGAAATCTCTATGATGTTTAGAAAAGCCAACATTTTCCCATATGTAATATTCAATTTCACTTAAGGATGTTCTTAAGCTCTATAGGAATTAAATTATTTTCAGTGACTCTATTCTATGCCTTTTTGATTGTAGACACATGTGTAAACCTTTGCCAAGTATTTCCAGAGTTCGTCCATTTCATATTCTTAATAGCCAAGTTGAATAGGACATTAGAGTTTATCAAGTCCAGTAATTCTAAGTTGGAATTTGAAGCTCTAACTCTTTAATTATAATCCCATAGCCTGAGCCAAGTTGTGGGACTCCTATACTAGAAACCAGGTTGTAGCTAGCAATGGTAGAAGCAAACACACTGATGCGTTAAAATGATTTATTCTTATAATACTAACACTAAAGTAGTAAGCGTTTTTAAGTTACTTTAAGTATAATGTTTAGCAATGGTAATATGACAATATTATACTTTTACCAGCACATGACTCTCATGTGCTTATCAGAACCAGCTGACGGTTAGTTTGATTCAAATCTCTTCCTAAGTATATAAACGGTTTTATTATAAATGTAAAATACAGCCAGAAATTCTTATTATTTAGAAGAAAATTTTCAGATTAATTACAAAACTTTATGTTGTCATTTAGTCAATTCTTTTTTTTTTTTTTAAGAGCAGGAGTGAAAGTTTATTTAAAATCTTTTTTTTAAAATTTTATTATTATTATACTTTAAGTTTTAGGGTACATGTGCACAACGTGCAGGTTTGTTGCATATATATACATGTGCCATGTTGGTGTGCTGCACTCATTAACTCGTTATGGCATTACCTATATCTCCAAATACTAACCCTCCCCCCTCCCCCCACCCCACAACAGTCCCCAGTGTGTGATGTTCCCCTTCCTGTGTCCATGTGTTCTCATTGTTCAATTACCACCTATGAGTGAGAACATACATAGTCAATTCTTTTTTAAAAAGTCAGTGAGCTCTTGATGTGTGTACACATGTATTCAGCCATTAGAAAATTTAACAAACGATGTTAGTAATGGAAAATGTTTTAGAAACAGCTGTAGAACATGTGAACAAAATTAAGATTTCCCAAAACAAGGAGAAAGAATAGCAAAACCAGTCTTCAAATTTCCCATTTCAGCTCCAACTACTGCTCAGGAATCGATCAGCATAAAAAACAAAAGAACCTCAAATCTACGTCTATAAAAGACTGAATGGTGGGCTAATTCACAAATACTTTTTTTGGTGATTTGGTTTTTATCTTCAGAATGAGTACAACAAAGATTGCTTCTTTGTCTGTTACAATTTCCTTACTTTAAACCATAAAAACACTTCTAAAACTCTAGCCATTACACAGCATTTATTTGAGAGCAAATAAAAATGAACAATTGTTAGAAAGAATAATGAAGGAACAAGCCCGTCTGGCTAGCCTTGGACCATGTCTCATTCCTATTGTCATTTTACCTGTGGCAAAATAAATCACAATTAATTTTTGACACAATTGAGTTTAACTTCAGTTTGATTAACTCGAATTTAAAATATATTAACAATAGCATGCAATCATTAAAATAATGTAAATGGAAAATGGGTATGATTTGGGGTTCAGAGAATCAAGCACAAATATATGTACTATAATTAACAAACATGTAGGACAAAAGAGAGATCAGGAAAGCAACTAAAGGAAATGCAACAAAATAATATTTGTTATATTATCAAAACCCAAATGTCCAGATTTCTACAATGTTTTTTCTACCATAATTTCAAGTTAATTTTTCTATAAATTCAAATTTAATTTAAATTTTAATTAAATTATATTTTAATTAGACTTTCAATTTTCATTCGATTTTGTCTACAATAATTTTTAAATTATAAAATATAAACCCCAGAGTAGACTATTTTGCAACATATTAGTACATTCAATTTCTTCACGTTAGGTATGCAGTTGTGCCTTTTTCATAGAATATTAATTTATGCACAGAAATCTCTTGAGATAGTAAATATCTATTATTTGTAAAAATATTTTACATAAAGAGATTTAATCATTAAAACCAATCCCAGATGAATATATTTTAAAAACAGGCAGTCACTCCCATATGTTCTCTTTTTTTTTTTAATCATTTGGATATTTTTGACCTACTTTTCAACCCACAGCAATAAACATTCAGATACAGACATTTGCCATTTATTGCTGATTCTTCTGTGTATATAATATCTGAGATTTCTGACATGCCTGAGCCTGTCCCTGACCAACTTG